>NC_000001.11:223184587-223371761 GCF_000001405.40 Homo sapiens | reverse complement strand
TCTGTCAGAAGGAAAACTAACAAACAGAAAGGACATCCACACCAAAAACCCATCTGTACATCACCATCATCAAAGACCAAAAGTAGATAAAACCACAAAGATGGGGAAAAAACAGAGCAGAAAAACTGGAAACTCTAAAAAGCAGAGCACCTCTCCTCTTCCAAAGGAACGCAGTTCCTCACCAGCAACGGAACAAAGCTGGACGGAGAATGACTTTGACGAGTTGAGAGAAAAAGGCTTCAGACGATCAAACTACGAGCTACAGGAGGAAATTCAAACCAAAGGCAAAGAAATTAAAAACTTTGAAAAAAATTTAGACGAATGTATAACTAGAATAACCAATACAGAGAAGTGCTTAAAGGAGCTGATGGAGCTGAAAGCCAAGGCTCGAGAACTATGTGAAGAATGCAGAAGCCTCAGGAGCCGATGTGATCAACTGGAAGAAAGGGTACCAGTGATGAAAGATGAAATGAATGACATGATGAAGCGAGAAGGGAAGTTTAGAGAAAAAAGAACAAAAAGAAACGAACAAAGCCTCCAAGAAATATGGGACTATGTGAAAAGACCAAATCTATGTCTGACTGGTGTACCTGAAAGTGACAGGGAGAATGGAACCAAGTTGGAAAACACTCTGCAGGATATTATCCAGGAGAACTTCCCCAATCTAGCAAGGCAGACCAACATTCAGATTCAGGAAATACAGAGAACGCCACAGAGATACTCCTCGAGAAGATCAACTCCAAGACACATAATTGTCAGATTCACCAAAGTTGAAATGAAGGAAAAAATGTTAAGGGCAGCCAGAGAGAAAGGTCGGGTTACCCACAAAGGGAAACCCATCAGACTAACAGCTGATCTCTCGGCAGAAACTCTATGAGACAGAACAGAGTGGGGGCCAATATTTAACATTCTTAAAGAAAAGAATTTTCAACCCAGAATTTCATATCCAGCCAAACTAAGCTTCATAAGTGAAGGAGAAATAAAATCCTTTACAGACAAGCAAATGCTGAGAGATTTTGTCACCACCAAGCCTGCCCTAAAAGAGCTCCTGAAGGAAGCACCAAACATGGAAAGGAACAACCGGTACCAGCCGCTGCAAAATCATGCCAAAATATAAAGACCATCGAGACTAGGAAGAAACTGCATCAACTAAGGAGCAAAATAACCAGCTAACATCATAATGACAGGATCAAATTCACACATAACAATATTAACTTTAAATGTAAATGGACTAAATGCTCCAATTAAAAGACACAGACTGGCAAATTGGATAAAGAGTCAAGACCCATCAGTGTGCTGTATTCAGCAAACCCATCTCACATGCAGAGACACACATAGGCTCAAAATAAAAGGATGGAGGAAGATCTACCAAGCAAATGGGAAACTAAAAAAGGCAGGGTTTGCAATCCTAGTCTCTGATAAAACAGATTTTAAACCAACAAAGATCAAAAGAGACAAAGAAGGCCATTACATAATGGTAAAGGGATCAATTCAACAAGAAGAGCTAACTAACCTAAATATATATGCACCCAATACAGGAGCACCCAGATTCATAAAGCAAGTCCTGAGTGACCTACAAAGAGACTTAGACTCCCACACATTAATAATTGGAGACTTTAACACCCCACTGTCAACATTAGACAGATCAACGAGACAGAAAGTTAACAAGGATACCCAGGAATCGAACTCAGCTCTGCACCAAGCAGACCTAATAGACATATACAGAATTCTCCACCCCAAATCAACAGAATATACATTTTTTTCAGCACCACACCACACCTATTCCAAAATTGACCACATAGTTGGAAGTAAAGCTCTCCTCAGCAAATGTAAAAGAACAGAAATTATAACAAACTATCTCTCAGACCACAGTGCAATCAAACTAGAACTCAGGATTAAGAAACTCACTCAACACTGCTCAACTACATGGAAACTGAACAACCTGCTCCTGAATGACTACTAGGTACATAATGAAATGAAGGCAGAAATAAAGATGTTCTTTGAAACCAACAAGAACAAAGACACGACATACCAGAATCTCTGGGACACATTCAAAGCAGTGTGTAGAGGGAAATTTATAGCACTAAATGCCCACAAGAGAAAGCAGGAAAGATCCAAAATCGACACCCTAACATCACAATTAAAAGAACTAGAAAAGCAAGAGCAAACATATTCAAAAGCTAGCAGAAGGCAAGAAATAACTAAAATCAGAGCAGAACTGAAGGACATAGAGACACAAAAAACCCTTCAAAAAATCAATGAATCCAGGAGCTGGTTTTTTGAAAGGATCAACAAAATTGATAGACTGCTAGCAAGACTAATAAAGAAAAAAAGAGAGAAGAATCAAATAGACGCAATAAAAAATGATAAAGGGGATATCACCACTGATCCCACAGAAATACAAATTACCATCAGAGATTACTACAAACACCTCTATGCAAATAAACTAGAAAATCTAGAAGAAATGGATAAATTCCTCGACACATACACTCTCCCAAGACTAAACCAGGAAGAAGTTGAATCTCTGAATAGACCAATAACAGGAGCTGAAATTGAGGCAGTAATCAATAGCTTACCAACCAAAAAGAGTCCAGGACCAGATGGATTCACAGCTGAATTCTACCTGAGGTACAAGGAGGAACTGGTACCATTCCTTCTGAAACTATTCCAATCGATAGAAAAAGAGGGAATCCTCCCTAACTCATTTTATGAGGCCACCATCATCCTGATACCAAAGCCGGGCAGAGACACAACCAAAAAAGAGAATTTTAGACCAATATCCTTGATGAACATTGATGCAAAAATCCTCAATAAAATACTGGCAAACCGAATCCAGCAGCACATCAAAAAGCTTATCCACTATGATCAGGTGGGCTTCATCCCTGGGATGCAAGGCTGGTTCAATATACGCAAATCAATAAATGTAATCCAGCATATAAACAGAACCAAAGACAAAAACCACATGATTATCTCAATAGATGCAGAAAAGGCCTTAGACAAAATTCAACAACGCTTCATGCTAAAACCTCTCAATAAATTAGGTATTGATGGGACATATCTCAAAAGAATAAGAGCTATCTATGACAAACCCACAGCCAATATCATACTGAATGGGCAAAAACTGGAAGCATTCCCTTTGAAAACTGGCACAAGACAGGGATGCCCTTTCTCACCACTCCTATTCAACATAGTTTTGGAAGTTCTGGCCAGGGCAATTAGGTAGGAGAAGGAAATAAAGGGTATTCAATTAGGAAAAGAGGAAGTCAAATTGTCCCCGTTTGCAGACGACATGATTGTATACCTAGAAAACCCCATTGTCTCAGCCCAAAATCTCCTTAAGCTGATAAGCAACTTCAGCAAAGTCTCAGGATACAAAATCAATGTATAAAAATCACAAGCATTCTTATACACCAATAACAGACAAACAGAGGGCCAAATCATGAGTGAACTCCCATTCACAATTGCTTCAAAGAGAATAAAATACCTAGGAATCCACCTCACAAGGGATGTGAAGGACCTCTTCAAGGAGAACTACAAACCACTGCTCAATGAAATAAAAGAGGATACAAACAAATGGAAGAACATTCCATGCTCATGGGTAGGAAGAATCAATATCATGAAAATGGCCATACTGCCCAAGGTAATTTATAGATTCAATGCCATCCCCATCAAGCTACCAATGACTTTCTTCACAGAATTGGAAAAAACTACTTTAAAGTTCATATGAAACCAAAAAAGAGCCCGCATCGCCAAGTCAATCCTAAGCCAAAAGAACAAAGCTGGAGGCATCACACTACCTGACTTCAAACTATACTACAAGGCTACAGTAACCAAAACAGCACGGTACTGGTACCAAAACAGAGATATAGATCAATGGAACAGAACAGAGCCCTCAGAAATAACGCTGCGTATCTACAACTATCTGATCTTTGACAAACCTGAGAAAAACAAGCAATGGGGAAAGGATTCCCTATTTAATAAATGGTGCTGGGAAAACTGGCTAGCCATATGTAGAAAGCTGAAACTGGATCCCTTCCTTACACCTTATACAAAAATCAATTCAAGATGGATTAAAGACTTAAATGTTAGACCTAAAACCATCAAAACCCTAGAAGAAAACCTAGGCATTACCATTCAGGACATAGGCATGGGCAAGGACTTCATGTCTAAAACACCAAAAGCAATGGCAACAAAAGCCAAAATTGACAAATGGGATCTAATTAAACTAAAGAGCTTCTGCACAGCAAAAGAAACTACCATCAGAGTGAACAGGCAACCCACAAAATGGGAGAAAATTTCCACAACCTACTCATCTGACAAAGGGCTAATATCCAGAATCTACAATGAACTCCAACAAATTTACAAGAAAAAAACAAACAACCCCATCAAAAAGTGGGCAAAGGACATGAACAGACACTTCTCAAAAGAAGACATTTATGCAGCCAAAAAACACATGAAAAAATGCTCACCATCACTGGCCATCAGAGAATTGCAAATCAAAACCACAATGAGATACCATCTCACACTAGTTAGAATGGCAATCATTAAAAAGTCAGGAAACAACAGGTGCTGGAGAGGATGTGGAGAAATAGGAACACTTTTACACTGTTGGTGGGACTGTAAACCCGTTCAACCATTGTGGAAGGCAGTGTGGTGGTTCCTCAGGGATCTAGAACTAGAAATACCATTTGACCCAGCCATCCCACTACTGGGTATATACCCAAAGGACTATAAATCATGCTGCTATAAAGACACATGCACACGTATGTTTATTGCGGCACTATTCACAATAGCAAAGACTTGGAACCAACCCAAATGTCCAACAATGATAGACTTGATTAAGAAAATGTGGCACATATACACCATGGAATACTATGCAGCCATAAAAAATGATGAGTTCACGTCCTTTGTAGGGACATGGATGAAATTGGAAATCATCATTCTCAGTAAACTATCGCAAGAACAAAAAACCAAACACTGCATATTCTCACTCATAGGTGGGAATTGAACAATGAGAACACATGGACACAGGAAGGGGAACATCACACTCTGGGGACTGTTGTGGGGTGGGGGGCGGGGAGAGATAGCATTGGGAGATATACCTAATGCTAGATGACGAGTTGGTGTAGCGCACCAGCATGGCACGTGTATACATATGTAACTAACGTGCACATTGTGCACGTGTACCCTAAAACTTAAAGTATAACAATAATTAAAAATAATAATAATAATAACAATATGTTATGCTGTAGTTGCCCTCCAAATGCTTGTCTTCTTCAGCTGAATTAATAGAAGCAAGTTGTTTAAAATACAGAAAGCAACAGTACCGGCCTGTACTGGTCAGAACCCACAGAGGGAAAGTAGGGCCTCTTTCTGGAAACAAACTTTGATTGCTGGGGGTGGATATCATTGAGAAACTGGGTCAGAGAAAGGCCACAGGCTGGTGAAAAGTCTGGGAATCGTCGCACTGAAGGAAATGGCTATGCGTGACCCAGAGAAGAGAAGACTCAAGGGAACACGAAGCCATCTCCAAAGCCATGAGATGCTCTCTTAAGAAAGAGGAATTCTATTTAGCTGCGTGGGCCCACAGAGGAGAGCCAGAATCAGTGGGTAAAGGTTTCAGGGAAGTAGATTTCAGTTCAATATAAGAAAGACTTTTCTAAGAGACCTGCTGGCAAATATAAACAGGCTACCTTGATGAGTATTCAGTGAGGCTGAATGACCACTTATTAGAAATGTCAGAGAGGAAACTCAAGCATAGATCCCATGTTTGGATCAGATAAACTTGAATGTTCCTTTCAGTCCCAACATTCTCTGTTAAAATTAGATTGTACTCCAGCCAAAGAACAGATTTCAATGGCACTTAGATATATCTCTTATAATTGTTAAGAACATGTGCATGGTCAACAAATATTTCTGACCGTTGTTGATTTGGTGGATATTTAAAAAGATTTAGAAAATTTACTAAGAAAGAAAAATGGAATAAATATACAAACTGTAGAGGACAGTCACAGGACCTTGGGAAGGTGGATGGTCCCCTACTAAGATTTTGGGGTCCCAAAGTACAAGCTGTAGCAAAACTGGACTTGTGCTAGTCAACATCTTGTTTATTTTGTGCAAAGCTGCCATCTCAATTTCACACACACGCAAAAGCAAAAAACAAAATAACGGAGCTTGACTTATCTACTAAAAGCTAATCTATCCTGAAAGAATGTGTTAAAATTACTCCCAGTAAGAGCTGACACAGTATAAAAGCTGTAATTTCCCAACTACCATCAGTATGTGAGATTTTGGGAAAGTCGATAGAAGCAAAGGATGATTTAGTAGCTGTATCAGGAACATAGTTTTCATATCCACAAATTGCTACAGAATCATGGAGTGTCACTGGCTCTAAAGCGCTGCCGGTGGACGCCACCTCATTAGCTGACACCTCTTAATCACTGTGGCTGGAATGTGGGCTTCCCTATCTTGAAACCGACCGCGGGCGATCAGAGCCGGCGGCGAGTGAGAGCTGCAACCACTGCGGGCTGAGCTCCGACACCAGAATCGGCGCAGAGACAGGGGACCGACCAGGCCAACTCTCTCCACTTGGGGCTGGGAGGGCAATTACCACCGACCCCCTTGGCTTCCCATCTACGACCCCGGAAGCCTCCCCTCCTCCAGGTACCCAACCTTCTGCGTGTCACCAATCACCCGCTACCCCCGCCTCCCCGCCCCCGGGAGCGCCTCCCAGGCCAAGGCTCCGAGGGCCCCGCGCATCTCCAAGACCGGACAGGGGTCCTCACTCGCAACACCTGCGGCTGGCAGAGGGAAAATACCAAGGGTGTGGGGGAGGGGGAGAGTGTCTCTCAGCCGCCTCAGATGGTCCTTCGGGCTCCCTGGGGACGCGCAGAGCTTCGGCGGAGATGGGAGCGGGGAGGGGTTAACGCGGGAAATTAAGAGACTCGGGCAATTGGCGGTGCTCAAGTTAACCGGGTCTGTGGCGAGAGTTCTGGGGTTGGGAGCTGCCGGCCGCGCACTCGCCCCGGGTCTGCAGCCACCGCCGCGGCGGTAGTTCTAGGGCGGAGCGCTCTCCCGCGCCGCGCCGCGGGCTGGGGGCACCAGAGGCCGCGCGGAGGCCGGGGCGGGCACCTGAGCTGGCGCGCAGCCGGGGCAGGGGCTGCAGTCCAGCGCCGGGGAAGGGGCGACCGAGCTGCGTGCGTGTGCAAGACCGGCCGCCGGCGCCTCGCGCCCCGACAGGTGCAGGCGCGCGGGCTTCCCATTGGTCGCGGCGGCGGGCCCCTTTCCCCGTCCCCGCCCTCGCCAGTCTCCGGCCACGCCGCGGCGCCGGCTGGGTTGGCAGAGGCGCGTGCTCGCGCGCCCGCGCACCCCTCGCCCCGTCCCCGCCCCCCCACTCACCCCGTCCCCACCCACTCCCTCTCTCCGCGCCGCCGCCGCCGCGCGCTCGCGAGTTCAGGTAGCGGGCGCGCGGGCGCCTCCGCGGGGGCGCGCGGCCGGGCTCCCGTCCTCCCCCAACACCCGCCCGCTCGGGGGCGCCTGGGGAGGGAGCGCGCGGGCGGGGGAGCTGGAGCCGAGCGCCGCCGCCGAAGCTTCCGTCTCGCTCGCTCGCGCAGCGGCGGCAGCAGAGGTCGCGCACAGATGCGGGTTAGACTGGCGGGGGGAGGAGGCGGAGGAGGGAAGGAAGCTGCATGCATGAGACCCACAGGTAAGACCGACAGTCCCGGAAGGGTCTTCCATTCCGAGGAGGCGCGCGCAGGCCGGGGAGGGGGAGTTGGTGCCTGGTGCAGCTCCCCAAGGGAGAATTTTTTTTTTTTTTTTGACAGCGCAGAGAAATCTCACTGGGGACTGGGGCAGTAGGATCGATCCCAATCCCGAGGAAAACCAGAGAAGTAGCTGGGGGAGACGGTGCCACATTGTGAGATTCCCAGAGTGAAATGTATAGGCCCAGGGAAAAGTGTCTTCGCGGCCCCGAGACGCGGGGAGGCTCTAGACTTTCCTGTGGTGGGCACAGCTGCTGAATCCCGGGGACCGGCGCGGAGCCAATGTGCGCTAACCCCTGCCCTCCCTCCTGTCCTCCATCCCCCAGCACGCGCAGCATCCCACGGCGGCTGTTACTCAGTGCACCCGGCTCGGGGGAAGGCGGGGGACCTCGCCGTGGGAAAGGGGGCGGGGGCCGCGCGGGGGAGGAACCAGGATGGAGCCTGGGAAGCCGAGGCGCCGGGTCCCAGAGCGGAGGAGGGGGAGCGTGGCCCCCGAGCCCGGACAGACTGGCTTATTGTGGTGTTCCGCTTCTGGTTGCAGACTCTTGCAAGCTGGATGCCCTCTGTGGATGAAAGATGTATCATGGAATGAACCCGAGCAATGGAGATGGATTTCTAGAGCAGCAGCAGCAGCAGCAGCAACCTCAGTCCCCCCAGAGACTCTTGGCCGTGATCCTGTGGTTTCAGCTGGCGCTGTGCTTCGGCCCTGCACAGCTCACGGGCGGTGAGTGACCCAGCTGTGGTGGGAGGGCCTGGGGATGGCCCAGAGGGGAGAAAGAGCCTAGCTGCCAGGACAGCCCTGCACCCCTCCCCCATACACCCAGACTTCAGGAGGATCTGACAACGCGAGGGTGCCTGCGTCCCAGCCTATGGCCGCCCTTCTCCGAAACCGCTGGAGTTCCCTGAAAATTCCCATGTGGAGCCCGCACAGATTCACACACCCACATTCTGTCTGGAGCTTCCCACCAGCCTCCGGGCCTGGCTTCTCCCAAGGAAAGACAATAAAGCCTGGCCCATTATTCCCACTTTGGCCAAGGAAGCGGGGGCGGGGGGGGGAGGGGTGGGGGGTGGGGGCAGTGGGGAGTGGTGTATTTGTGGACCTCTTGCCAATGCCTTCAGCAGATAGAGGTCAGATTTCAGCCTCTGGATTTAAGCAAGAGTTTAAGAACCACCTTTGAGAATGTGAAGGGTCTGGAAACGTGGTCAGACTGGCTGCGGGGCAGGTTTATTTGAAAGTTAACTTTCCCTTCCCCTGTGTGTGCAGCATGTATGTGTATGTTGGGGGCGTGGAGGAGGTGCAGAGGTATTCTTTCAGGTGTGCCTCTGACAGATTGCTTTGCTCATCGAGGTATGATTTCAGGGAATAAAGTCAGTTGCTCTTCTATGAAGTAGAAGTTAGCTGAAATAAAATTGATAGCCTCAGCCTCCGTGGGCGGCTAATCTATAACATATTTGGTTCTGGGGGAGGGGTATCTTTTAGTTGTGGTAGAGGAAGACAGATGGAGTTCCTGTCTGAATTTGAGAGCCTAGTCTCCCTGCCTCCACTGCTCATTGCTGTCCATCATTCCTGTCCATTGCAAACGTTCTCTAGAGCTTGCTGATGTGGACGTTAAAAGGAGCTGAGATACTGTTAATATATAAATAAATTATCTTTGGTTGAAAAGCAAGTATTGACTGATGTAAATAAACCATTTTAGCGTTTTAAAATATTGCTGTTTCAGAGAATTCAAAGGTGAAAATGGAAAAAAAATGAGTGAAAAATTAGCAAAAGTGGAGGAGAGGTGTAATAAGTTGGGCTTTAACACAGAGTAATCAATAACCCAGGCATTCCACTTAGACATCTGAAAGATGCCCAGAGTATAAAGGTGTTTATTGCAATGTGCATATCTATCAAAATTAGTGAGAAAACACTTGCTTTGGGTGGACATTGGTTTTTATTTTTATTTTTGTATTTTTTTTTTAAGAAGGAATAACTTTTTGGATGCTTGTAGTTTTTTATAGAGATTTCTCTGAGGCAAGCTTCCTCTTCATGGAGGAGAAGGTCAAGTGTGAGGCCAGGCCAGCACCTGTGTGCCCTGCCAGGGCTCTGGTCACAGCCTCTAATCTGCCGTGGACACCAGCTCTGCTTCACATATGAGTGGGAATAGACGGGCAGAACAGTATTGCGTGGATCTGGATCATTTCCTCCCCTCCTCTCTGCTTTTGCCTCCCAGTTCTAGCTTTCATTCTCTCAAACCAGGTCCACATGATTTTCCATCTTCTTGGTCCATTTCTCTTATGTAGATGACAGACTAGTTAATCAAGGTTCATTTACATTTGTCTTGACTATTGTTATTGGATGGGTGAGGTCTGAGCACAGCTGAGATTTGTTTTGTGCTCTTGGTTCTGCTTGGTCGTGTTTACAGAGCATCCTCCTCAACATTTCAGAGCTCAGTGTACATCATGGCCACCTCGGTCTTATGACAGTCACCTATGAGGTTCCTATAGCATGTCTTTTTTCCCTGCCTTCCTGTGGGGGATCATGCCAGGCAAAAATATCCAGAGCCTTGGAGAAGAGGATGAGAGTAAGGGTTGCCTGTCACCTGTCAGTCTCAGAGCTCTTTCTTTTTAGGCACTCATATGCTGCAGGAAGCTAGCCATCAGCTGCGTTTCACTTTGAACTCCTTCAGGCTGAGAGTGTGATTTCTGGAAGAGTATTTATCACTTCACAGTTCCTCTATGAATAAACCGTTTGGGCAAGCAAGGGTGGTGGGGGATGTCCTATAGAGTTCATTATACAGAGATTTTCTTTTTTAGGAAAGAAATGCACATGGAGGCTCCAATAAGGCAATAAAAGCAAATACACCTTAGCTCTAGACTTGTGCTTCTAAAACTTTAATGTGCATACAAGTCACCTGGGATCTTGTTAAAAGGTGGATGCTGATTCATTTGGTCTGGAGTGGGGCCTGAGACTCGGCATTTCTAATAAGCTCCCAGGTGAAGCAGTTACCACTGATCCAAGGACCACACTTTGATTAGCCATGCTTGAGACCAAGGCATTCCTTAAAATAAGTTGCTTCTGCTCCAGACTTTCTGCCATCATTCTCAATTACTGAATGCAAATGGCCTGTGAGGAGCAGAAGTCTCACCCAATATCTAATCTTCAGGTGATACACAGAGCTGAAAATCAGCCCTCGGAGAGTGCTTTTTTTTCATCCACAAAAAAGTGTATATTTAATGGACACTGTTCTGAAATGTGGATTTTCATTTTTGATTGCTTTCAATGGAAAAGGAACACCGCAATGGCAAGATATAATCGTCTCAGCTAGGAGAAAAAAAAAGCATGTGCCCAGTACAAGTATTGAAGAAAAAGCCTGAACTAGAAAGGCAGAAATTGAGAAAATGATCAAAGAAAAGTAGGAACAGGAACTCCATCAAAAATGAAATGCTTTGTCTTAGAAAGCCAGAGCTCCGATTCAGTTCTTTGAACCCTAGGGAAGCTTTTATGAGCCTGACTTGTCCTGAGATGATGTTTGGGTGGCTCTCTCCAGGTTGTCTTTTGTCGTTAAGGAAGAGTGCCCTCATTTGGGGCCACTGAGACCAAATGCTGTGCAAGAACTCATATTAGGTTGGTGGGGAGATATAGGACCCTGCCGTGTGTGGAATCTGCATGGAGCATGGCTTCAGCTGTTTCTCCCCTTTCTGCCCCAGTACACTTGACCAGAGACCTGCTGGGCTTTGAGGGATGCCCAGAGTGCCCCCCACCCCCAGGCTTCAAGGAAGAGAGCCAAGAGTTTGCTCAACAAGTGACTCCTTTAAGGTGAATTCTTTAGCACATTTCTGTATTATAAATAACTCAATCAGGCTCTGCCACTTGATAGCTTTGGGGTCTCAGGACTTGGGAGCCTCAGCTTCCTCATCTATAAAATGAGGATGACGGTGCCTAATTTATAGGGTTGGTGTGAAGGATGGAAATCATGTAGGCACTTAGTAAATGTAAATAATAGTAGGGCGGAGGGGGCTAAGACAATGCCGTGATTTTGGAGACTTTTGCTTTATTCATTCAATAAACATTGAGTGCCTACCCCGTCCTGAGCCAAGCACTGTTGCATAAATGTTATTTTTACCTAGAACTCTCTCTTACTCATTTTTTTCCTAAATGAGCAAATTTTCTCAAATTTCTTTCTATCCCCAACTTTTAAATGCCATAACTTCTCTCATATTTCCCTAGTCAGTAAGTTCTTCCCTTACTTGGGCTCCCATTGCACTAGCTGTAACCCTCTATCATAATATTGCCTCATTTACTAGACCACAAGCCCACTGAGGGCAAGAAACTTGACTTTATTCATGTTTGTGTCTCAGGCACCCAGCACAACATCTGACACACAGTAGATGTTCAGCTAATTTTGATTGAGAGCAAGAAAAAAGATTCCCAAATTACTGCCACACCATTTAGAAAATAATTGCTATGAGTGAGTTACTTTTTACAAAAGTGCAAAAGTTTCATGATAGCTGGGGCCACATCCAATTAATGGTAGCCTATGAGGTTGGAAGGAAAATCAGGAAAGGCTCTAGAGAAGAGGTAGCACTTAGGATAGGATGGTGGGGAGGGAGGGTGCATCTCAGGTGGAGGGATAGCTTGTGCAAAGGTGTGGAAGGTGGTTACATGATTGGACCCTTCAGGGAGCAGAAAATAGTCCGTTTAATCTGGAATATAGTATACCTGCAAGGAATCAGTAGGGTAGAAGGAAAAATAGGTTAGAACCTTATTGTAAAAGTCCTAGAAGCTCCAATAGGGGTTCTGAAAGTCACACAGCAGGCAGTGGGGAACCCACTGAAGGGTGGAGAGCAGGAGCAAAATATCATCTGAGCTTGGCTTGTCTTCCTTTTTCTGTTTCTAGGTCTCTGACTCATGCAAACCCCTGGTCCAGCGGCCCTCTCTGCATACCCAAGTCATGGTCCTAGTGCAGCTGAATTGAGCTCCTGGAGCCCTCATTTGGTTCATGTCGCTGTAGTGCTGTGCTCTGTGCCAGCAGGTGGAAACAGATGCTTTCTGACTGACTCACTGATTTGTAGTGTTAAGTCCCTTAGTTTTATTGAGAAACATTTTCTTACATGGTAGAGTGAAAGCTTTTCATTCAATGCTACATCTAAAATTCACAATTTCAAACTGCGCTTAATCTGTAAGCAAAGTCCCAGCTCCTCTAACTCTAATGTATGTTTCTTCAACAAAAGGCTACCTTAATATAAGCAGCATGGAGACTCTTTTGATTTATCCAGTGGGTAAAATCTGAAAGCTTTTGGAGGCAAAAGGATTTCATATAACAAGTAGCAAATCTCTTGTCTCAGAGGCCTGAAGAGGCAAGTCAGAGAATCAGTGGTTCTTTAATTTTTGAATGTAATGAAAAATGTAGGTGAAGATCTCTCTCCAGTAAACACTGATTAGATACGTGAATAAAAGCACCTAAATTATTCTGTTCCTGGTTTCAGAGACATATTTCCAAAGCTTGCAAAAGACCAACGAGGCTTGCCTTTAGATGGGAAACTCTGGTATAAACAAGTGCTCTGCATTCTTTATAGGACGGATAGAACTCAAGTTCAGCCTCTGTCCTTAAATTGCCACCTAGCTTTGGTCAAGTGGTGTGACTTCCCCTTGACTCAGTTCCTTTCATATCACTAATATTTGATTCTGCGATTACAGGAATTTGATGGATTCTAAAATCTGAGTAAAGCCAGCTCTCTTTTTCCCACCCATCCATCCATCCATCCATCCATCTTTTTCCAGTGTCTATTGTACATCCTGGGGATACACAGTTAAGGGGATACAGTCCTTTGTCCTGAGAAAACATTCAGATAAGCGTTGGTGTCTTCTCAAAAGTTTAAATGCAAAAAGCATGCATAAAATTATTTTTTCACACATATTTTAAATTCGATTTAAAATTCCGTGTTAGTGTTATTTATTGATTCTGATGAGAAAAGTGATTTTGCACACTGCTCCTCTTTATCCTTGCTGTGCTTTGAAAGCTCATTTGCTGTTTGACAATTGAAATAACCACACATAGTAACAGTATGTCTAAATAGATCATTGGGATCATTGCCTCTGAATTGAGGGGAAGAAAGGGGCAAAAGGATAGACTTTCAAATTTGTGTACAAATATGGTCCTGCTTCACCAAAACCAATCACAGTATCTAGGACTGATGGATAGATGTATATTCTTATGTATTTTATTGATTTATTGGTCCATTCTCATAAGAATGAGCTGTTCAACTATTGTTAACCATGGAAGGTTGGGAAAAGGGACAAAATTTTAAGTTGGCCGACATCTGCGTGATTGACAAAAGTTTCCAAATTGTTAATAGTACTTCAATAATAATTGAAGAGTGCTTATTACGTACCAACTCAGTTTTCCACACTTTGTGGATAGTAACTCATTTAATTCCTCACAACTGTATGAAGTAGATTTTATTATTTATCCTTATTATATAGAAGAAGAAAAGAAGGCATGGAAAGATCAAGCAACTTGTCCAAGTTCACCTGGCTTACAAGTGGGGCATGGTGACCCAGATTATTCTTTTAATGATAATCTTTCTTTTAGCATGCCAGGACTTGGAAATCCCAATCCCTAAATACATTTTTTTCTTTGTATTGTATTTGATTCAAACATTTTTCTTTAAGCTGAGTTAGCAAGTATTTTGGAACACCCCCTGCCCTGAGAGAAGGGAACTCTTGTGTGTTGTGAGCAAAAAGCAGAAAACATATAAACAAATCAACACAACAACAAGAAAATCCCACAACCCAAGACAAAGTGAAGGCCAGAGTGCCTGAATCTTGGGCTCTGAATGGTGAATGGTAAGAGGACAGAAACCCATGTGCCAGTCCTTTTGTGCCTGTTGGAAGAAGGTAGTCAGAATGGGTTGTGCTTGACTCTTACCTGCTTTGCCAAGGGTGAGTAAACAAGTGGCTGGTTTCTGGGGCCTTCTGCTAGTGACTGTCACTGCCGTCACCATTCCCTTCTGATGGTTCTCTGAGCTCTGTTGCTCCCTTAGAGCCTTCCTAAGAGTGGTTCTTTTTCATGTAACTTGGACAAGCACTTGACAAGTACAGTTTGCAAGATGTTTTTAGCTGTATCGCCACCTTTAATTTTCTTAACAACCTAGTAAGATAAGGAAGAGATTTTGAGTATTTCTCTCTCTCTTTTTTGCTTTCTGCCTTTTTTTGTTGTTGTTTGTTAAATTTCAAGAGACGTCCTCAGTGAGATTGCTGTCCTAGGGTTCCACAAATATCAGACAAAGCCAGATTAGGAGCAATCTCTTCTATTGGTCAAGACTTTCCTCTTTGTTTCCTCTTTGTCATTTTGGTCCAGACTTTGAACTTATCTTCTCAACCGTATGCTGTAGATGAAAATCTAGTTAGTATATGTCAAAAGGTAATCAAAAAACAAAATCTGGCCAGGCACGGTGGCTCATGCCGGTAATCCCAGCACTTTGGGAGGGTGAAGTGGGAGAATCACTTGAGCCCAGGAATTTGAGGCTGCAGCGAGCTATGATCATGCCAGTGCACTCCAGTCTGGGCAACAGAGCAAGACCCTGTCACTGAAAAAAAAAAAAGAAAAAGAAATCTGAGATTTGTGAATGTGTGTAGAAGTTCCCCCTAAAAGGTTAAATTTGAAGTAAAAATAACATTTGATAGTTTGTGAGATCTGAGAGTCACTTACTCAGAAAGCCATGTTTCATGGTATGAGCTTAAGATGCTGTGTTTTAGGAAAGAATTTGGCCCAATATTTCTTCTTCTCTCAAGAAAAGGATGCCGTACTACCCTAAGAGAGAAGAAAACTATCCACTCAAGAAAAAAAAAAAATAGAAATAATTGAGTTGCTCAAATAGCTTCTTAATTGAGAGTATTGTAATTGCTTTATTAATCTTAAACAAGGTAAACTGGGAACATCAGAGAAGTCAAACAAAATAATTCTTGACATTATTTGGAAAGGACAATAAAGTTGGGAGTGCCATTATAGATGACTCTCCCCTGTGTAACAGAGGCATGTGCAGGCCCCAGCAGGTCAGGGCCTGCAGGCAGACAGAAGCATAACCCTATATGTGTACCCAAGAGTGCACACCCAGTCTCCAGGAATGGATTTTGGTTCTAAGGAGTGAGAGGAATTGCAGAACCTGGTAAACCTGATCAGTGATCATTTCATTATCATCCCAATCCATTGAGTTTTCAAGAGAGGATGAGTAAGGGTGACGTTCTTTGCAAATGAAGGTGTAACCCGGTTATCTCATGTTTCTGTTTGAAATTTGTGACCTTTATCTCCCAGAATTACCACCGTGGAAGTGGAGATGAGCAAGGAGGGTCACTCATGCATTATATTCCTTTTTTTCTCAGAGTAACAAAATATAAAAAGACCTTATTTTTGGGGTCTGATTACATTTATAAAATACATATGTGGTTGAATTGGGTGAATCAGGAGGAGGGAGATTCTTTTTAAGAAAGAAAGAAAATGGGCCTGGTGCGGTGGCTGACATCTGTAACCTCAGCACTTTGGGAGGCGAAGGTGGTTGGATCACTTGAGCCCAGGAGTTCAAGACCAGCCTGGGCAACATGCAAAAACCCCGTCTCTACCAAAAGTACAAAAATTAGCTGGGTGTGGCCGGGCACGGTGGCTCATGCCTGTAATCCCAGCACTTTGGGAGACCGAGGCAGGTGGATCACTTGAGGTCAGGAGTTTGAGATCAGCTTGGCCAATGTGGCAAAACCCCATCTCTACTAAAAATACAAAAATTAGCTGGGCATGGTGGCATGTACCTGTAATCCAGCTACCCAGCAGGCTGAAACAGGAGAATCGCTTGAACCCAGGAGGTGGGGATTACAGTGAGCCGAGATTGTGCCACTGAACTCCAGCCTGGGCAACAGAGCGAGACTCCATCTGAAAAAAAAAAAAATTAGCTGGGTGTGGTGGCACGTGTCTGTAGTCGCAGCAGAAGTGCAGTGAGCTGAAATCAAGCCACTGCCCTCCAGCCTAGGGGACAGAGTAAGAGCTTGTCTCAAAAAAAAAGAAAGAAAGAAAGAAAGAAAATGCATTCTTATGGTGGATTCTTTGATGTCTTTGTGTCCACAGCATTGTTCCTGTTCTAACTAGTTTCAAATTCAGATTCTCAGTACATAGAAGAATCCTTCAGACTTCCCTAAATACTTAACACCTAGAAGATTCTGATTTTCTCCAGGCAAGAAACAATAGGATCTGCTTGTTTTGTAAAAATTTAATAGGTTTAGAGTTAATCTTGTGAAAGGCTCTCAACAGTCCTTTTAAGCTACCACTGTTAACCAACTCTGAGTGTCAATGTTAGAATCTAACCCAAGGATGCATTTTCAGTTAATGTTTTGTGTGTGTGTTGGGGGGCTCATCTGTATGTTTCGGTTATAGCATGCCAGCATATACTTGGTGGCTGATGAAGGCTACCTAAGTGTTTTAATTATACTTACACAAAATGGGGGTGTAATATTTTGGAAATGTACAGTTCCTCTGATTTAGAACGATATGGTCTGAATTGCTCTGTGACATTTAAAAGGCTTGCCCAGATTTTTCCCCTTGGATTGTAAATGGTGGACTAGGCTTTTTTCTATCATTCTTCCGTTTATAGCATTGCTTTGTGGATGCGAGGTGTTCTTTTTTTTTTTTTTGGAGGCTGAGGAGTTATGCTGACCATCAGCATTGGTCATAATAAGAATTTTTAAGAAACCAACAACACTTTATTCTGGCAATTGATTGCTCCTCTTATTTGGGGGCGGGAGACTTATTTGTGTATTATTTGGTTAATGTTTAAGTAATCTGAATTCTGGATGCCCATGTCAATGAACAGAAAGTTGACAGAGCCAGAAGGGAGGAAGCCTATGATGAGGGGGTGGAGAATCCACATAGAGCTGTCCGAGGCTCAGCTGCAGAAGAGTCAGAACCTTTTCTTTTTGCTACTTTCTTTTTTTTTTTTTCTTGAGACAACGTTTCACTCTTGTTGCCCAGGCTGGAGTGCAGTGCCACGATCTCGGCTCGCTGCAGCTTCTGCCTCCTGATCTCAAGCAATTCTCCTGCCTCAGCCTCCCGAGTAGCTTTCTAACCTTCAATGGGAGGACAAAGCTAAGAGGAGGAGTAGAGTACAGCAGGGTCAGTGTGGCCATGAGTGGCTTTGGGTGTCTCCCTTCCTAGGGACATTGAGCAGAGGGGTCTGTCACCTGAACACTGCAGTGATGGTGGCCAGGGGGCGTCATCCCTGCTGCTGCCCCTTCCTCTGTCCTGGGGCACCGGGATTTTAAAAAATGTGCTCAGCCCTCCGGATACAGATTCTCCCTGCACAAATTTTTTGGCAGCGCTGTCCCTGAGTTTTTCAAAGATTCAGTGTTCTCTGGCTGTCAGTTCATCTTCAAAGTATTCAATTGTTAGAGAGTGATCTCTCCATCACCCCACCCTCTGTGACCAGCTCTGTCACCTCTGAAGCAGGTCCCTTAACCTTGCCATTCATTGGTTTCTTCATCTGTAAATCAGGGGCCATAAGACTTGTTCCTCTGGACTTCACAGGGACATAGGATGTGCTGGTATACAGGAGGCAGTGTCAGAGGCATTTCGTAAATACAAAACAGAGTTATTATTGAGCGTCTGGAGGGAGACACCTCTCCACTGCACATAGGGCTATTTTTGCCTTTTGCCTCCCTAATTACAAAGGGAGGGTAAGGGATGCTCTGCACAGCATGTAAACGCCTTCCCACGTGCAGGTCCTGACCCCCGTGAAAACTCATTGTGTGTGGACATGATGTCAGGCAGCTAGAGGAGCTGTTTTGCTGCAAAATGGGATGTGCCAGTCTGTTCTCAGTGCCTGCTGCTGGCATGTTCAGTGAATGGTGACGTCTGGAAATGGAAAAGGTCCTTGTGGTGTTGAGAGGAACTTCTCAATAGCTGTTGGCCCAAGCCCGGTCAGCTCCTTTTGTGTGCTCACAGAAGCCTCAGGAAAAAGAGATTAAACATGTGAAGCAGGCGAGTGATTTGTTATAGGTGCTCCGGAGGTCCATGAGGGAGGGAGGTGGTCCATGAGGGAGGGAGGTGCTCCATGCATCCCTTGCTCTGCTTCCCCCTTATCTAGCATGCTATTTCTGTTGCTGGATGCTGGAGGTGTGCGGGCATGGTGAGTTCGCCCCCATGGGCTCAGGTAGGACAGTGGGGTGAACTGGGAGTTGCATTTGAATCCAGTGACTCACTAAGTGCTTATCCTTGTTGTTGACTGCCTCCTCTCACCTCCAGCTGCCTGCTATCTCTAACTCTTGGGAGTCCTCTATAGCTTTGCAGGTAGGATGCTGCTTCTGGGTGTCTGTGGGCTGGAGATCTTGGGATTCCTAGTCCTTTGCAGGAATGCCTGGAAATCCTCTGCAGTCCAGCCTCAGAGCCCTTCAGGAAAGCAGCCTGATAGCCTGCCAAGAGTACCTTGCTGCAGCCTCTTCTCGGCCCCAGACCTTCCTAGATCTTTGCCACCCATGGGCCCCTGGAATGCCAGGGCCTGATTTGAGGAAGCGCTCCTTAAAGTGCAGTCTGTGCAATGGGCTTTGAATTAATCAGGGAGGGTCTTGTATGGTTTAAGGAGGTAGCAGGGCATTTATCTATCCCCTCGAGAGTGGCTTTGCTGAAAATCTGCTGCTGCAGTTTTCATTTACATGGAAATGAGCACACAGAGAGCTCTTGCCCCTTGTCATCTCCAGATGAAGGAAGACCCAGTTCTTTGGGAGCTCTTCAAACACACAGATTATCTAAAGCTGGGAGTGAACCTACCCTATCTCTGTAGCAGTTGCCTTTGCATCTTGGGTGGAATACTGCAGCCACACTCAAGGGTAGACTCCTGTTACTCTGTCATTGCTGCTATTAAAATTGCTGTTTCTCAATTTCCTCCATGTAGTGTGGTTAACAGGGGCTTTAATCGAAAGCAGAGCTGGCTACCTGGCCTCTACCTTCACTTTGCTACATGGTTTCTGTGCATCTTGCTGCCTACGTGCCTTGGTCTTCTAATACTTGGCGTTTTCCTATAGTGCCTGCTGTGTTGATGTTGTTGCTAAACTGGGTCATGTTCTCGGTGATGTAGCCTAAGCTAACGTCCATGGAAATGCAAAAGACTGTACCAGCCCATTGCTTCCTGGACCTTCAGTTTACATTGAAACTATTCTTTCAGTACCATTACTGGATTAAGATACACACACTTTCATAAGGTTGAAGAGTGAGATGGCCACACGTTCACATGAATGAATGCACCCAGGATGATGCATGGACTTGGAAAATCTAGGGTGGAACAAAATTCATGTTAGCCCTGCTGACCCCATTCATTGACTCTACCCTAAGCCTCTGTGCCCTCTCCTCCAGCTGGCCTTTCCACAGCTGTTCCTGCATCTGGGCGCCCCTCTGTCAGCTTCCATCTCACTGCCACAACCTCCTGTGACTCTCAGATGGTCCTTGGCTTCCTCCCCAGCTCCAGGAAATCTCTGTGTTCTCAGAACTCCCAGAGCACTAGAATCATGGTGTGGTGTGCTGGAGAGAGCCTAGGAGATGGTCTGGGCCAGGGTTTGCATGGAGCCTTTTGCTCTCCTGCAGGGTCTTCCTGGACAGAGTGGGGACTGAGGGCACCTGGCTGAGCAAGCTGCCCCTGGACAAACCTGCTCCCACTTGACTGTGCCCCTACTTTAGATGTTGTGCTCCCTCATATCCTTTCACCAACATATGAAAATTTTGCACATAGTGCAGCTGTATCATTCTAGAGATGAGGGGAAATAAGGGCCCTGTCACCATGTGGCAATCCGGGGGGACTGGAATCCTTGCTCTACTGCTTTGGTGGCTTTATATGTGGGGCAAGCCCCTTAATTGCCTCTGCCTCAGTTTCCTCTTCTGTAAGATGGGGGATAATAGTACCCATGTTATAGAACTGTTGTGAGAATTAAATAAGTTAAATCTATAGAAACACACAGAAGAATGCCTATTATGTAGTAAGATTTCAATAAATATTGGTATCTTCATTGTTATTGTTATATTTTTAGTTATAAAAGCTCCTTAAAGCTAGGATCCACAACCGATTTATCTTTTTTTTCACCTGACTGTGGCCTGTGTGTTCTAGATTCTCAGTAAACCTTTGTCTACCAAGTTACAAATGTGGGAAGGACTGAGAGCAAACCCTAATGTGAGACCTCTGCAGCCCACATTACAGATTCCTCCAGGGCAGGCACTGTACTTTTCCTCTTGTTTATCTCTCAAACCACAGAATACATACATACGTAATCCCAGTTGAGTACTCATAGCTTGATTAGAAGAGGGCTGAAGGACTCCACAGCCAAGTTCAACAGCTAAGACCTGCTACTGTATGAATAAAGGACATCATTGAGCCAAGGGTTTTATTATTTCTAAATGCTCTGTCCTTTCCTCTTTGCTTCTGACATCTGAGTCAGGCAGCAACGACAGCTGCAGTGATGGGCAGGGAGGACCGTGAGAGGATTGATGTCTGGCCTTGACTTGCGCCTTGCCCCTCTCTTGGGAGTGACAGCACCTGGAGTATTGAGTTTTTCACTGACAGTGATGAGGGTCCAAACATGGCTTTGCAGTCAGTCCTAAGGGTGGGAAAGGGAGGAAGTCTTTCCGGCTTCTTATCTTCATCCACTCTTACATTTGTTCAACAATAATTTATTGAGCGCTTAACTATGTTCAAGGGCTGCCTTAGGTGCTAAGACTAGAAATAAGAACACAGTACAGTCCCGGCCCTCAGGAGCTCGAGCCTATGTGGGATACTGTCTCCGTCAGCTTGGGCTGCCTTAACAAAATACCATGTTGGATGACTTAAACGATGGAAATTAAATTTTGTCATAGTTCTGGAGGCTGGAAGTTCATGATCAAGGTGCCAGCACGGCTGGGTTCTGGTGAAGGCTCTCTTCCTGGGTTGCAGACAGCTGCCTTCTTGCTGTGTTCTCACATGGCCTTTCCTTGGTGTGGGTGCAGGGGTGGGGACGGGAGAGAGCTCTGTGGTCATGTTGGATTAGGGCCCCACCTTATGACTTCATTTAACTTTAATTACCTCTTAAAGGCCCTATCTCCAAATAGAGTCATATTGGGGGTTAAGGCTTCAATGTATGAATTTAGAGGGATACAATTCAGCTCTTAGCAGATACGAAAGGAAGACAAATGTTAATTCTTATGAAAAGGTGCTGTAAGGAATCCAGAGCTCTTATCCCAGCTAGGGGAAATATGGGAAGGCTTCCAGGAGGAGATGATGCCGGAGCTCAGTTCTGAAGGAAGTGGCAATTAGGTGAAGAAGGGGGAAAGAACATGAGCAAAGGTGTAGTCATATGAAACTGCCAGTGTTTGTATATGGTGAGGGTGATAGGGGCTACAAACCATTAGCTTACCTATTCATGCATTTCATTAAGTCATTCATCAAACATTTCCTAAGTCTGCTATTCATGCAGGCACTGATGATGGAGTCCAGAGATGATCTGGAAGCTCAAATTTGCAGAATTTCCCAAATTACAGGGCCATAACATTTGCTCTAATCTAATCAAACTACTGCTAGACACTCACATTATTCGATTACAGCTGCTGGCCACTAAAAATCAATTGCAAGTGGTGCCCCAGGCCATCCGCTGAGCCCACCCTGGTTTAGGTCAGGTAAATATTGAATTATTATGGGGAGGTAGCCTGCGGAGAAGTGATGAGTTAATATCCATAGTAACTGGAGGCCATCACATATATATATATTTTTAAGTCATTTTGAATTTATCTTTTAAGGGACATTTTCTTCTCTCCTACTCAAAACATTTTCTTTGTTCTTTTTTCTTTCTCTGATATTTAAAGTTAAAACCTCTGAATGATTCGTGAGTCCAGGTTTGGTGCTGGTGCCATTCTAACAGGCCCATGTTATGAGACTTGATGGCCTTTTTGTTGGAGAAGGAGCCTCATGCCTCCTGGCAGACAGCATAGTGGCCGCATCCATTGTGGTCTCAGTCTCCTTGCTTGCCCCTCTCTGCTTGGCACCTCCCAGAGCTTCTGAGCTTCATGCCCATGGACCAGCTCCTGGAGGTCTCTGAACCGTCCCCCAGCCCCACACCTGAACATGTATGAAGACTTGTATATGCATTTCTCTGAAGTGGGTTTGTAGCTTTCAGCAGAATCTCAGATGGGTTCATTAACCCAGAAAGCTTTTAAAAAAAATCACAAGCTTAGAACAAACTGCTTAGAGTAAGTCTGTACCTAAACTGTTGATACAGGTCACAAAGAGAAGGAAACAGTTCTCAAGAGATTGAGGTTTTGGGCTTACGCACCTTTAGGCTAGGGTTGGTAGTGTACCGGGGAGGCCTAAAGAGAAAAAGTGGGCAGTGCTGGCCAGCAACTCTATTTGGACTGGTAGGCATCAGAGCTGTCCCTTTAATTTAACCCTTCACCCACCAAGGCAATTGAAAACATCCTGCAATTTAGAAAAGTTTCCTGCCACAACTGGCTTGGAAACTTCTTACAAAGTGGCTTCTGTCTACATGGCATAAGAATAAATAGATATAGAACAGGTAGACTGATCAGCAAATATATGTGGAGTCTGTTACATGCAAGGCACTGTGCTAGGCAGGATGGGAGAGTCAGAGATGAATGATAGGTAAGATTCAAAAGCCTGAGTTATTATAGAAAATTATGAGTGGAAAAAAATTCATGTTTATTTTTTCCCGCTGAAAATATGAGCAGAATGAGAAATATTCCAATAAACAGGCAAAAACAGTGCTTTTGTCTCAGTTATCTCTGTAATTCAGCATGTTGTTATGACATATTGAAGCATTATGGACTTGATAACTGTGATTATGCTACTGCTTCTAGTGTTCTAAACGGATGGTTTAGTTGCATATGAACAAAGTTTTTTTTTTTTCCATTTGAATATTAGAAGCGTAATGAATGTTCCTGTTGCTTAGATCTGTAGTCCACTCAGTCTGGGCTTGGGGTTTGTTATGTTAGAGCTGAAGGGGCCATAGAGGTTGCCTTAATTACCGATGAGGAAATGAAGGCCCAGAAAGTAGAGTGAGGTGCTGGTTTCACAACTGGTTAGTGGCAGAGCTGGGACAGGGACCCCAATATGTTCTCTCAGATGGGGCTTCTCTATAACATCATTTGCTTTCCTCCAGACAACTGGGAATCATCACAACAGGATCCACCTCCTGAGGGTTATGTGGATTAAATGAGATAATACGAGGAAAAGTATTTACAGTAGGTATGACTCAGAACACAAGCCTTTATTTACTTATTGTAAAATAGCGCCTTAGATTAATTATTTCATGGATGCATTTGAGCATTAAGTTACCAAGTACTTCGGAAGTACATAGTAATTCTCACTTAAATGCGTGCATGAAATAATTAAGGCACTCTATGTCAGCTTCTATAGGGGATCTACTGATCCCCCAATAGTGGCTTCTACTGTAGGGGCTGGGATTTATTTAGCTGGGAAGTGATTCTGTCATCTACAATCATGACATAAGATGTTGGGCACATAATCAGAGGGTTGTGGCATTCAGGAATGGGAAAGATTGTTCTCACTGTGAAGAGGGGAGAATTTGTGACAGAGATGACATTTAAGTTAGGCCTTGAAAGACGTCTGCACTGGGAAGGGGAGGCGGGGTAGGGTAGGAGGGAAGTGCGGATGGTTAATGGGTACAAACAAAATGTACTATTGGAAAGAATGAATGAGACCTAGTATTTTATAGCACGACAGGGTGACTATTGTCAAAAGTAATTTAATTGTGTATTTCAAAATAACTAAAAAAGTGTAATTGGATTGTTTATAACACAAAGGATAAATGCTTGAAGGGATGGATGCCCAATTTTCCATATTGCTTATTGCTTGCCTGTATCAAAACATTTCATGTACCCCATAAATATATGTACCTGCTATGTACCCACAAAAATTAAAAAGCATTTTTTAAAAAAGAAAAATAACATTCACACAGAAAAAAAAAGTAGGAGCTTAATAGACATTTGTTGAATGAAAAAAAATATTTGTGAAATTTCAACAGGACGAAGTGAACTGCAGGGGGTTTTAGCAGAAAGAACATGAACATGGGCCTTGCTGGGGCAAGCATAAGATAGGTTCATGGCCAGGGAAGGACTGACTTTGGCCTGGACCAAGGGCATGTTTTGGAGACAGACCAGCAATATAGCAAGAAATGTAGTAACAATAGTAATAATATTAATGGGTAGCATTTATCAATTACTTGTTCATACCAGGCACTTTTGAAGTGCTTTACATAAATGAAGTCACTGAGCCTCACAGCAGCTTTATGAATTAGGTACCGTTTTCATTCCTATTTTCATATGAGGAAACTGGGGCAGAGAGAGGCTAAAGGGTAGGTTGAGGGTCCTAGAATTAGAAGTGGTGGGGCTGGGTCCCAAATTCAAGCCATCTGGCCCTGGAGCCTGCTGAGGTATTCATCTCTCCTTGCCTCACTGCTTCCAGGCTGGGGGGCACTCAGCCATGGGAGTTTGGGATGTAACACCGTGGATGGATTTGCCAGCTAACGTCATCTGCTTTTCCTCTTTGACCTTCTTTCTGCAGTACGCCTTGAACCCTAGCCCAAATGTGGTTAAGCCCAGAACCTCAAGAGAAAGGAAATCATAAATAGGAAAATGAATTTCCTAATCTTTGAAAACTATTTTCTTCTTATTGATTCCTCAGGAGGCCATCGACGAGCCACTGAGAGTTTCTGAACGGAGGAGCATGTTTAAGTCATACGTTAGGGTTTTGGTTCTCAAATGGGGTGATTTTGTCCCCCAGGGGACATTTGGCAATGTCTGAAGACAATTTTGGTTTTGGGGTAAGCGGATGGAATAGAGGGTGTGTGCTACGACTGTCTAGAGGGTGGAGACCAGGGATGCTGTGAAACATCTTAAAATGCACAGGACGGCCTCTACAACGGAGAATGATCAGCCTCAAGTGTCCGTAGGGCTGACTCTGAGCAACCCTGCCCTAGGGTGATTGGCCTGGCTGCTGCAGTAGGCAGGGGAGGCTGAAGGGAGACATGGAAGCTAGTAGCCAGGAGGAGGAGCTCCAGGTGAGAGGTGCTGAAGGCCCGGAGGAGGTACTGGCAGCAGAGAAAGCCAGGGTGCACATTTCAAAGGCTGAATTCTGGAGGGCAGAGGGCAGACCAAGGAAGATGTTGCAGCCAGGGGTTTCTAGTGTAGGCATGAGAGAGAAGAAGCATGGAGTCATTAACTGCAATGGAGATGTCAGGAAGAAAAGCTTATTTTAGAAAGATGATGAGTTTGGTCTTAAGATACTTAAATTTTGACATGCAGGTGGAATTGCCCAGCAGGCATTTGAGAATAAGTGATAGAAAGCCGGACGTCGGCGTTATAAATGTGATGTAGGAACCATCTCATGGGCAGCGGTAATTATAATCAGTGTTCAGTAGTGGTCCTGGGAGAGGACTGAGGGACACAGGGACTGTGAGGGATCCCCCTGAGGGATGCAGGAGAGGGAGCGGCAGGGCCTGGATCTGAACCCTGGCTCCATCTCTTAATAAGCGCATGATCAGAGGGAGCGTCAGGGCCTGGATCTGGACCCTGGCTCCATCTCTTAATAAGCACATGATCTTGGACATGTCCTTGAACCTCTCTTTGCCTCAGTTTCCTCACAAGATACCAAGAGAATATTCACAGAGATTGGTGGGGAGCCAAGATACAGCATTACCAAAGCCAGGGATGTGAGGGTTTCAGAGAGGGGGTTAGTGGTGCGGACCTCTGAAGGGGTTGGGGGGATCCATGAGAATGAAAGACCACCTCGTGTTCTCAGCTCATGAGTGACTTTGGGGACAGCATTTTCACTGTATGTTTGTGAGCACCACTTCAATGTAAGTTATCCTCACTGGTGTTACCACAATGTCCAATTATCTATTTTCTTTACAGTGTGTGACAGGAATAGTGTATATGTAGACTTAATAACAAATTACTTATATTAACTTTAGTTTTCCCTTAAGTAAGAGCAATGAGCTGTAGAGAAGGAGAGGGTAGATAAGTTATAAATGAAAGTGAAGAGAGGCCAGAGAGGAAGTTTCGATTATTTCTGCAGAATCTGTTTTTCTTTTAGCTTCCAAATTCCCAGCCTTGAACATAACAAGGAGTGCTAAATGTTCTGAACTCAGGAAAACTGTCCAGATGGGCCCAAGGAAGCAATCTGCCTACCCTCCACGTGTACATATCATGTTAGGGCGGCCTGCTTGGATTTAGGAAGAGCACACTCAGTCCCCAGTGGGAAATGTCCATCCCGATTAAATGAGGGCTGCGGAGTGTGGAAAACATGAGAAGTGGTGGAGAGTTTTTCTGGAGTTGAAGTTTGAGTCTCACTGTGACCAGACTGAACCTACTGAACCCACACTGATAAGGAAAGCGAACATTGTCCTTGGCAGCCCTTCAAGGCTAAGCTTTTCTCGGGGGTGAGCAGTCCTTGAGCAATTCCTTCAGTGCATTAAGTGCAAAGTGGCTCTTCCCTTAGCTACAAATAAGCAGACCACTGTTATTCTCAAGAAAGGAGACCCCAGGAGAGTGCAACATCAGCACAGCCTTACCATGTTCACTGCGCCAGGCAGGTGGAGGTAATTGAACACTCACAAAATTTATTTTTGTGTGAGACACTCATCTGAGAGGCTGGGTGCCATTTCCACTCTATCCCTAGCACCCGACAATGTTGCCTCCCTAGATCTTGCTTATCTTGTACACCATGTATGCCAAACACATCACCCATCTCTTTGAAATATTGTCAGAATGATCTTTGCTGTGCAGTATTAAAACCTGCAAATGCCCTTGCTCCGTTTTCTTAGGTGGTCAGGCTGTCTGTATATATTTATTGAGAAGACAGTTCTGAAGGCTAAGCATAGACAGGTTTCTGAAAAATTATGACTCACATTCCATTTTAACTGTTTTTGGGAATCTAGCTATTTAGTGGAAGTCTCAGGTTTTCCTAAAGTGCTGTGTGCTCATACATTTAGTTTTTATTTCCTGAAAATGGCTAACTTGGGACTTGGAGGTGGCTCAACAGAGGTTGACACGTTGGTTTGGATCTGGGCCATGTTCTCGTACTCTGTTGGTGGTGGAAATAAAGCTGGAAGGGTGGAGAAGGGTCAGGGAGAAGATAAGGAAAGGGAACACACTGTGGTTCCTACAGCAGTTGCACAGGGACTTCACGGGTTTACAGAGGGAAACCATAGCTAGGTTTAAGCTTTTTCCCTTATTAAAAGCAGCTATATATATGCAGATGTATGCATATTCATTGTTGAATTTTTTAGAAAATATGGATGAGCAACGTTAACAAAATAAATGTCACACTAACCCTCTGTTAGAAAAGTGATGTGTGTCTCTTTTCTATATATCTTCATTCTCCCCCCAAATAGTATATAGACATTGTTTTGTTACCTACTTGTATTACTTAACAATATATCATATTTTTATTAATCTTTTAAAAATAAATCTTTTAGAGCATCATTGTAACTCACCGTATTGTATTCTATTTTGTGCATACCCTATAATTTTTTTCACCATCGTGCTGCACATGCACTGGTCAGCAAAAACAGAGGCAGTTTGTCCAGTGGGGGAGATAAACAATCCAATAATCACAAAAATAAGTACAAGCTGTAAAAAGTGCCATGAAGGAAAGCAACTTAGCTTTGAAAGAGCTTATGAGGGAGAAGAAGGAGAATCTCACTTGGTCCAGCTGGGCGGGGTGCTCAAGGAAGGCTTCCGGTAAAAGTTAGCTTTGCGTGGAGAGGTGATAGATTTGAACCAGGTGAAGATCAAGGGAGAGTGTGTTCTCAGTGGAGGGAACAGCCAGCACAGAGGTCTTCTGTTGGGAGGTAGCATAGAATGTTCAAGAACCTGAAAGAAGGCCAGTGTGCCTGGAGTGTAGAGAGCCTTCCTCTTTTTATTGGCTATTTGTGTTTATTGTTTTGAATTCTGGGCTTATGTTCTTTGTCTGTTTTTCCGCTAATGTTTTTATCTTTTTCTTATTCATTTGTAAAACTCTTTTCAAATATTTGACCTTTCACATATCAACAATGTTCATTCTTGCAGTTTTTACTGGCCTTTAATTGCATTGATGATAATGCAGTCAACTTTTTTTCTCTATGGTTTCTGCCATAGAGAAACCGGTATTGGTATTAGGCTTAGAAAGTTTTTGCCAACCCAAGGTTATTTACATAGTCACCTGTATTTTTCATATTTTATTTGTTATACTTAAACATTTAGTCAATTTGCGTGCTGGGAAATGTAAGGATATTGTTAATTTTTATCCAGATGGTTAGCCAATTGTACCAACAGTATTTATTGAATAGTCTATCCTTTTCCCAATGTTTTGAAATAACACCCTCATAATATACTAACATTGTATAGATATTTGGGTCTGTTTCTTGGCCTTCTGTTATATTCCATTGATTTGATGTCTCTTCCTGTGCCAGAACCACACTATTTTACTACTTGTACCTTTTAAAATCAGATAGAGCAAATCCCCACTCATTACTCTTCATTTTCAAAATGTTCTCAGCTAGTCCTATGAAATCACTCTTCCAGATAAATTGTGGAATCATTTTGTTAATTTTGTAGATTAATTTGGGGAGAAGGGACATCTATTCAATAATAGTATTCTCAGAAAAATGGCAACCCTCTCCATTATTTTAAATCTCCTTTTGGGTTCCTGGGTAGAAAGAACATTTTTAAAGACAACATCAGCCCTGAGGACATTGCAGTTTCATCTACAAAATATCACTGACCTAGAGAACATGACTTCAGTGAACACTAGAGAAACAGTAGGACACTGAGGGCCCTTTGAGGATCTCTGTCTTGGGTACCCAGGCCCCCGCCTGTCCTCCTAGCCCTGGTTTCACTGTGGCTGTGGTCCACCAGGGCAGACCTCAGCCATGACTAGGAAGGAAATAGGAAAGGCAAGGGATGTTTATTTTTGGAGACTCGTCTGGGCTGGGCACCCTCCTCAGTGCTTTGCCTGTTGCCTCATTTACACTCGACGTGACCAGCCAATGAGCGATCTTTAGCTCTGTTTCATACCAGACTCTGAGGCCCCGAGAAGTTACTTAACTTGGCGCAGATGGGGGTGGTGATAGGCAAGCAGGAGGCATGGTGGTCTCTGTTGGCAGATGGGTGAAATGGGTTTGTACCCAGGCCTCTCCAAGCACAAAGTCCGCCTCTTTCCATTCTCTTCTTCAGGCTGGGAGACACACCCACCCTCACCACTGGTCACTAACTGGGAAGGGGGAGTTGGGAGCACCCCTGTGGTTGTAGCTGCGTGTGCAGTTGTTTTGGTGCCTGAGGCATGGGGGAGCCATGCTGATTGTCCCTCCGTTTGTGTATTTAAAACAAGACCTGAACCTGAGAACACTTGGGTGCCCCGTCAGTGGATCTGGAGACCGCTGGCATTTCTGCATCGGGTGTTCTGCGTGGGGGAGCTTGATGGGAGCCGGCCCCTTCTGCTTCCCACTCAGCCTTCACAGCTGGAAGGTGGATCTGGGGAGGACAGAGAGGGGGTGGGTGGGAGGTGGGACCCTCTCCAGGCTCTGCTGGCGGCAGCTGCCCTGCCTCGTGTGGAGCCTGGGCTAGAGAGATGCAGCCGTGGCTTTGCTATTTTTAAGCTGTCCGCTATGCTCTGGTGGAGGCTGCCCGCGTCAGATGCTGAATCATGATCCAGCTTGCTAATTGCAGCAGTGCCTGTGGACTGCCAAGTACCCAGACAGGCATCTGGCTCTGCCTTTCGGGTTCCCATGTTATAGTGGGGGACAGATGGGCACCCCATGACAGGAGTACCAGGCAGGCCCAGCACCATCACAGTTCTTGTTACCTTTGGGCTTCATAAAAAATTTACAACAGCAGCAACAAAAAGAAAAATAAAAACACCTCCCCAAAGAACACCAGATTATTACAGTATCTGTTTCGAGAGGAGGAAGAAAGCTTTAGGACTTTCCATATCAAACATGTGTATTTTAGCAATCAAGGTGCTTTTATTCTCTCTTAGAACAATCGGCACCTAACATGCAAACCACATTAAACGAATATGTGTAACACAGAGGGAATTAGGTGGATGAGGTCAAGTGTGTCTTTTTCTAGAGGTCAGTTTCAGCTAAGTGCTTACTATATTTCTGAAACAATAGAGATTTAAGAGATGTTCCTCCGGGGAGTTCAGCAGCCTTTGACATACTCTCTATCAGTGAGGGCCTGTTTGCATGTGTTCTGTCTCTCTGACTACCTGTCTAACTAGATCACAGGGCTGAGAAGGGACACATTTCCCCTCCTGTGGGAAAGAGCTCACCTGACCTCTACCTGGATCTTTTGCCTGGAGCCTCTAAACCCAGCTCCCCAGCTGTCAAAGCAGGCTGAATATCATGACTGCGGACAGAAGCTGCTTTTGGATTAGCAGGGATGGAAAGGACTGCGTGTTGACAGCTCCTTCCTTACCTTTGATTGTGGCACACTACTCTCAAAGCCTTCCCTTCTCCAGGACACTTTTCCTGTCTCTTCTCTAACACAAAGGTGACTCATTTTTCATTGCAGCTGCAGCATGGAGTGCTGGCCCAGCTCTGCACCCCAAGCAGAGGTCTCACTGGGTCAGGGCATCTTTTTGTATCTATCAGATGCCCATCTGTGCCCTCTGCCCCCTCAGAAGAATGGACAGGCCAGTGCCTGGATTCTTGTCTGTTCCAGGAGATGGGACCAATTTCACAAGAGCTGAGCTGTCTGAACAAAGAAGTGATGGGCACACATGAGCCTCCCTAGTTCTCAGACAATGGGGTGTTTAACTTCTGGGTGTTATTCTGCTTTTTTCAGGGTGCTGGGCCTAGACTGAAGCCCATGGCACCAGCCACAATGCTCCTGCAGGATTTGGCTGCGTGTGGTCTTTGTCAGGGAATGCGATTGGAGCAGCTGCTTCCAGGGCTTGATTCCCCACAATTCTTCCTGGCCTGTTGTGTAAAGGAGACGGCTTTAAGGAGATAAGGAGATAAGGAGTTGAGTGTCGTGGTTCTGCCAGAGCGGAGCCGGTGGAATGAGAGCCCCCTTTTCTTCAACTTGGCAAATTAGTGTCTGCCTTTCAGACTGTTGGAAACAGCTCAGTGTGTGTAAGCGGAAAAGTGGTCGGTGGGCCTCAGGCCCAGCCAGTCCTGGGGGAGCCGGGGCCCAGCCTTCTGCTTCCTGAGGGGCCTCAGGTGTATACACATGAAGCTTGTTGAGTTAGTGGTGTCTGAATGCCTCAGAAATCTCTAGGGAACTTCTGCAAAGACGATTCCTCGGCCTTGCCCCCATAGACGCTGAGAAGGTAGATCTGGGAGGATCACAGAAATCATACCATTAAAAGGTGTCGTGAGATTCTGATGGGTGGCTCTCTAGGTTTGCTAACCCTGCTGCAGTGACTCCCTCAGTCTCACACCAGATCTGACAGGGACCTGGCGGGGGCAGGGATTAGACTTTGGGAGCATGGCAGGTGAGAAGGGAGATGGCGGGTTGGAGGGATGGGTCCCTCTGTCCTGTCCCACCCCTGCCCCGCTGGCTCATTCTCTGCAGGCAAATGTATACAACCTCTCCCCTCTCAAATGAACCTTCCCTTGATCTTGGCCCTGCCCTGACATTTTCCTCCCTCCACAGCTGAGCTCCTAGAGATAATAGTCCACATTTAGTCTCTTTCCTCATCTCCGACTCACTGTTCAACCCACAGCAATATGGTTCCACCCCCATCGTTCCTCTGAAATTATCCTGGTAAATGTCACCTTCAGAGACACGCAAACACCAAACTCATGTGCACAATGGGTCTTGCAGTTCTCCTCTTTCTCAGCCTCTTTGTAGCACTTGGCTACTTCATTTTCTTGAAACGGTCTCCTCCTGTGACTGCCAGGATATTACTCCCTTCTGCTTTTTCTTCCTCTAACCAGTCCTTGCTGGTCTCCTTTGCTTTTCCTCCTACACTCTCCCTGGAGTTCTGTCTTGGCCTCTTCCCATCTCTCACCACACAGTCTTCCCACGTGACCTCATCTCCCCTTGTGAGTTGAATTACCACCTGGAACTGGATGTATTTCTCCTGCTCAGATTTTTTCCTGGTTCTGATGAGGACATAGATGCAAGTGCTTACTGGACATCTCTGAGTTGTTCTCCACATATCTCAGCTTGTCTAAAACAGTTATATTCTTCCCTCAGATTGCCTCTCCCTCCATGTTCCCCATCTCAGTGAATGGCATTAAGATCTGCCTCATCCTACAAATCAGAGGCCTGGAGCCACCCTGCAGCTGCATGCGCAGCCTGTCCCAGCAGTTTCCTCGCATAAGTGCATCACCCCTTCTCCCCATGCTCTTATCCAGCCTCTCTTCCAGCTACTCCTGGACTGCTGGAAAAGCTTCCTGGTGGGTTATCTGCCTCTGGCATTGCCCCCTTCCAGCTCATCCTCCTTGTGGTGAACAGAGTTGTTCCAAAACACATATTTGATTGCATCCTTTTACTGCTGAGTGCCCCTTGCTGCAGGGGGAGATAGAAACTCCAAAGCATAGCACACAAAGCCCTCTGTGACACGCACCCTGCCTCTCTCCTGCCTCAGTCTTGGCCGCTTCCCCCATTTTGTTTCTTTCATTTTTTCAGTTGTACTAAATGGCTGAAGGTTCCCTGGGTACTTGTGCAGCCCTGGGGGATCTGATGACAAAGCAGAGGACCCAGAAATTCGGCTGAGAACAGCGGCTCCCGGCCTCACTCCTCGGGGTCCCTTGTATTATTTTCAGTCCACTGACCTTCCATTTTAAAAAAGCCTGACTGCCTTTATGAAGCGATGGTTAATTTGTGTCTCTATTTTTGGTGAAACATGTACGTTTACATAAATATCACTGTGTTCAACATGGGGGAAGTTTTTTCACTGCACTGTGTTTCCAATCCAGTCAAAGAAACCTGAATTTTTGCATTAGCCTGGCAGATCTGTCCTGGATAAATGTACTATTTCCATTCACCTTTTTAAAGAAATAAAAAATAGCTCAATTATTCCCTAGGAGTCCAGAAACCTTGAGTAGAACAGATTGAGTCTTGCTTGAGAAAGAGGCTCTGCCCAGAGGGCTGGGTGGCCTCCAGTTGTCAGACCCTGAGGGTTCCTCATGTCTTTCTTAAGGGGTTTGGTGTGCTTTGGCCTCATTTTCTCCCTCTAAGCCTCCCTTGTTTTTGCCTCTGTTTATACTAAAAACAGCAGCCCTTCCTCTTGAGAACAAAAGCCACCCTGAGGGATGGCTCTGTAAACTGACCATGTAGTCGGTGACTATGCAGTGGGCACAGGTGAGGGAGGGGACAATGTGTCCTGACGATTTGGTACACAGCTCACAGAAGCAGGCACTGGAGTCTGGGCTTCCAGGCTGCGGTGTCCTAATTGCCACCTTTTGAACAGATGGCTTACTCCCCTGGTGTTAGGTTGCAGTAGAGCTTCTGCTATTAACACCCAATTGCAGCAAGAACTTCCATTACCTCCCCACCCGTATTTACAGGAGTTCATTACTTAGATATATTTCTCCCTCACACCTCAAGCTAAATTTAGACATCTGAGGTTTCATCCACTCAACACAGTCTGTGGGTAGGCTCTATAAAGTGCCGTTCATTCATTCATTCATTCATTCATGCATTGTACTAACATTTGAGCTCTGTAAGGTGACATTCATTCCTTCATACATTCAACTGACGTTTGAGCAATGGAAGACATCATTCATTCCTTAACACATTCTACTGACATTTGAGCTCTGCAAGGTGGCATTCATTTCTTCATGCATTCTACTAACATTTGAACTCTGTAAGGTGGCATTCATTAATTTATTCAACTAATACTTGAGCTCTACAAAATGTCATTCATTTATGCATTCTGCTGATTTTGAGAACTGAACAAATTACGGTGCCTGTGAGAGATACAGCTCATACCGTTATCCAGTGTACAGTAGGAGAAAACAAGTTAACGACAAAGTATGAAGAGTACTTATGAAGTACTTCCTGTGGGAAAGCTGGTGGTGGTGTCCTTTTCCACCATCTTAGTGGCCAGCTCTCACCAGGTTCCATGGGCTTCAAGGGAGAGTTTCTGGGCTGTTCAAGGTGGGCTGGAGTCATGAGTATGGCATAATCATCACATTTCACCAGATACTCTTTGAACACCTCTAATGTGCCAGATGCTGTGATAGGACTCGCTGAGATAGAATTAGCATTTGATTTGGAGCCAGAAGAGCTGGGTTCCAAGCACACTTGGAACATCAGCTTTGTGAATTTTGTCAAGTCCCTTAAAAAAAAAAGGATTAAAGCTCTCTGTTACAGTCACCCAGATACTACTGCATAAATGAAGCCAGTTCATACAAGTCCATAGAGGAATTTACCAAAATTCTTACCTGTTAAATAAGACACAGGCATGAATTCTACTAAGCACAGAAACCATGACCTCTGGACAAAGATTTCAGAAGAGAAAGAGCAGTCTCTGTGCTGTGCTTCCAGTCCTGAGTGCTATTCACGCCTCAGAGGCAGCCACTTCCAATACTTCTGACTGGTCATGCGGCTACCTTCATGTTTCTTGATAATTGCTTATACTGATATTTTTTGATTTATAAAATTTAGATACTAAAAATTGTAGCTATTACCTATTGATTTCTTAATATGGGGAATGACGACAGTTTCCTTCCCCATTTCCCATTCTTCTTTCTCTCAAGGTAGTTGTCTCCCAATTGTTGTTTAAAATGATAGTCATTATTGGCCGGGCACAGTGGCTCACGCTTGTAATCCCAGCACTTTGGGAGGCCAAGGCGGGCAGATCATCTGAGGTCAGGAGTTCGAGACCAGCCTGACCAACATGGAGAAACCCCGTATCTACTAAAAAACACAAAATTAGCTGGGCGTGGTGGCGCATGCCTGTCATTATTTACATCTTGGCTTTGTACATACTTATTACTCCTGGGCCAAAAAGTCTACTATAATGACGTTTTCTTTTTTTTTTTTAAACAACTTTTTGTTCTGTCAGGAGTCAACAATCACTTTGTTGTTGCTTTGCAATATTTTCTTTCTACAGTATAATGAATTCTTCCCGAAATCGACCAAAGAATTAAAAATTTTTCTTAACACCATTTCCTATTTGTCAAGTGCAACAAGTAATCTAGCAAATCTCCTTTTTCCCTGTAGACATTCTTCTCAGAGCCCTCTGATCACCGTCTCAGTTGGGACTGACTCTTCGCTAGGTTTGCTGCCTGGTTATCTTGATGCTTGACTGCTTCGTGTTAGATTCTCTGTTTTCTGAATCTGTGTTTTCTCATTTCTTAGATTATGCCCTAAATCAATGGAGCACATCTTTTACTAGCTTTCTTGTGTCTCTGAGGGTATTAATGACTGCTTGTTCTTTCTGTATTGTTTTATATTTCTTCATGGTTTGCCTTTCAAATTGGGGGCTTCCTTGACCATTATTGTTAAGACTGAGACAAGAAGAGAAGCCCTGTGTTCATGGATGGGTCTTGTCTATTCCTGGGCATTACTGAAAATTGACTGAAAAGAGATATGGGGTAAATATTTTAAGATTTGGCTGTTCGAAATGCCTTTTGTTCACACTGAACTGATAACTTGGCAAAGCATAGCATTTTAGGTTAAAAATCATTTCCGTCAGAACACTTCTACACTGCTGGTGGGAATGTAAACTAGTACAACCACTAAGAAAAACAGTGTGGAGATTCCTTAAAGAACTAAAAGTAGAACTACTGTTTGATCCAGCAATCCCACTACTGGGTATCTACCCAGAGGAAAAGAAGTCATTATATGAAAAAAAATACTTGCATACACATGTTTATAGCAGCACATTCACAATTGCAAAAATGTGGAACCAACCCAAATGCCCATCAGTCAACAAGTGGGTAAATAAACTGTGGTATATATATATATGATTGAGTACTAGTCAGCCATAAAAAGGAATGGATTAATGGCATTTGCAGCAACCTGGATGGGATTGAGACTATAATTCTAAGTGAAGTAACTCAGGAATGGAAAACCAAATATTGTATGTTCTCACTCATAAGTGGGAGCTAAGCTATGAGGATGCAAAGGCATTAGAATGACACAAGAGACTTTGGGGACCCAGGGGGAAAGGGTAGGACTTTGGGGACTCGGGGAAAGGGTAGGAAGGGGGTGAGGGATAAAAGACTACAAGTGGGGTTCAGTGTATACTGCTTGGGTGATGGGTGCACCAAAATCTCACAAATCACCACTAAAGAACTTACTCATGTAACCAAATACCACCTGTTCTCCAAAAACCTACGGAAATAAAAAATTTTAAAAAATTTCCCTCATAATTTTGAAGGCATTACTCTGTAGTCTTCCAGCTTCTAGTTTTGCTAATAAGAAGTATGATGTCACCCTGATTCTAGTCTTTCATATGTGACCCAGCCTCTCCCCAGATTTTCTCTTTATCTTTGGTTCTCTGAAATTCCCCAATAAGGTAGATGGTATGGGGTCTCTTCATTTATTATAGCCTTGTCAGTTTGGAGACTCATGCCTTTGATTTCTGGGAATTTAAAAAATATTCTTCGATGATTTCCTTCTCTTCATTTTTCTCTTTTCTTTCTGGATTTTCTATAAGTAGGATGCTGGCACTCCTTTCCTGATCCTTAAATGTTCTTATCTTTTCTCTCCAGTTTTCTTTCTCTGTGCTTTTTTGCTGTCTTTTCTGAGGGATTTCCATAACTTTTTTTCCAGGTTTTTTTGTTGAAGCTTTTCAGCTACCATATTTTAATGATAAGGAACTCTTCCTCTGTTTCCTTTTAAAACAGCATTCTGTTCTTGTTTCGTAGATGCATTATATTCTCTTGTATCTCTGAGGATATTAATTATAGTATTTTCTTTCTATATTGTTTTGTATTTCCTCATAGGTTGCCTTTCAAATTGGGGGCTTCCTTGACCATTGCAGTTAAGACTGAGACAAGCAGAGAAGCTCTGTGTTCATGGGTGGGTCTTATCTATTCCTGGGCAATCCTGAAAATTGACTGGGCTGAGATTCAGCCATTTTACTGAGGATAGGAGGTAGGGGAATGTGGGAGGTGGTTCCCTAATGTCCACATCTATAGGGCTTTTCTCTAAGGCTTTTCGTTTTCTCCGAGTCTGGGGCTTCCACAGAGTGAACCTGTCCTCTCATGCTGTGGTGGGGAAGGAGGTGGTCATCTGGAAGCCCCAGCCAGGAGAGAGGACCTGGGGTGGAATGACCTCTTTATGCATTTCAGCCAGTCCCTCTGCTTTCAGCCCTGCACCCCTCCCCACCTCTGCAGAACCTGGTGCTTCCAATTCCCCAGCGTTTCTGGGACTCCATGGCTCTGCAAGGGTGCCCCCTACTTAACCTTTCTCTGTTCTGCTCACTCCTTTATCTACTTCCCATTTTCTAAAGAAGCAGAGACGTCTTTTGCATTGTCACTTCTCCTACTTTTTGTGTTGTTGGGGGTATATGCCATTTAATTATTTCTTCTTATATCAGTGGAGCTTTGAAGAGAAAAATGATCACATGTTCAATCTACCATGTTCAACAGGAAGCACTAATTTTAATTTGTTTCAGAAAAAATTTTTGATTGAGTAATAGGACTAGGCACTCTTCTTGGTGGTTTGTGTATAATCTCACAGAATCCTCACTGTTGCTCTCAGGAGGTGCTGATAGCCCCAGTTTACAGGTGTGGAAACGTAGGCAGAGAGAGGTTAAGTAACTTCCCATGCAGAGTGGTGAGTGGTGGAGTGTGGATTGAAATGCACGTAGATCTAAGCTGCACCCCCTGCTCCTGGCACTGCCTCTCAGTAAGGAGGGTGTGCACCCGTGGGTGTGTGCACCATTTTGCCGTCACCGTAACGGGGGAGGTTACAGTCAGTGCCTGGATTGGCGGGTTTCTTTTAGGAAGAAAGGCCATGCTGGGCTGTGGATGGAGAAGCCTAAGGAAAGAGTTTGGCCAAGAGGTTCTGAGGGTCCTGCACCTGGTGCTGACATGATTTCCCCAGGACAACTGTGTGGGAGAGGAGGGTGTGGTGTGCAGTTGCGGCAGCTTCCACGCAGAGTATCAGGAGCAGGTGGCCATTTCTTCCGTCAGAAAGAACATGGTAGAAGATGGGAAGATGGCCATTGCAAGGCACTCCCAGGATGGTCCCCACCCTCCCCAGTACCCGCTTAGCTGGAGGTAGGCATAAAGGACAGGGGCAGGACAGAGAAGGAGCAAACCTTAGACCTCCGAGCCTCAGCAGGAAGTTTTACCCCTGGTTCCGTTTCCCTGTGACACACGCCCTGAAGGAGAGGCTTGTCCGAGGAGATGCCTGTCTCCCCACGGCTACCCGCAGTCACTGAGAATTGCAGAATTACTTGCTACAGTGTGGTCAGGCCATGTTTCAGTGCCTGAGATGTATTTTTTACGTCTTGAATCCAAATTACAGCATTAAAAATAGCTAACGACTTCTAGTTTAAATGGACAGATCCTAAGAAACTTTATATATCTCTGTGCAATGAACTAGGAAAGCTGGTGTTAGGTAATGCTAGTGCCTGAAAATTGTTACAGATACTAGCAGCAGTAAATATCCAATTTTTGTAAGAGACCTCACCAAAGCAATTTAATCCTTTTGATGCTTGTTGGAAATTCAGGTACCGTGTCTGAATATAGATATGCCATTTATACATACACTATGATGTTTTCTGTAGATATGTGTGTATATGAGCTTGTATAAAACAAGTTGCTTTGAGGTAGCCTAGCCATGCTTCCTACTAGCACCCTCCAAATATTTTATGAACCACATCTTAGGTATTTTATGGCTACACAGAGCATTCCTGACACACCACCCTGAGTGCTGTTTCACTTAGCAATTGGCATTTGCCCAAGAGGACTAGAAATCAGCAACTGGAGAATAGGGGGCTTTGTAACCAGGCTCACACTGTGCCCCATCACTCAGCTTTCTCTGCACGGGTTCAAGGAAGCCCTCCAGAAATGCCACATTGGGATTTCATGAAGCAGAACACAGGTGAGAGGTCAGCATGGTGAGGGGGATGGGAAACTGGGATTTCAAACTGTCCCTTTAGGATTAAAGTTTTGTCTCGCTGTTGTTTGCAATACAACCTGGACATTTCATCATTGGCCTTCAGTGGGTTTGCAGGGTGATTTCTAGGGGAGGCAGAGGAGAACACACGTCTTCCTTAGCATCTCTGAGTTGACACCACCAGGCTGGGGTGCAGCCTTGAGCCTTGCTTTGGGGAGCAGATGGCTTGGTCAGATGGAGTCGGTCTCTCCTGATTAGGAAGAGGACAAAAGGTCCCATGAGTTGAGGCCTCGAAAAATGTGTGAGTTTGTCAGGCAAGTTGCTGTTTGAAAGTCTCAGGCCCTGAGCACCTCCTTTTCTGACTTATGCAGATAGCATCAAAGGCCTCGGAGATCAACCAAGGGCTTTTAAGTAGGCGGAGTGGAAAGACTGTGATTGCCAGGCCGTGCTTGCATTTGCCTTTTGGAGGCCCTTTTAGTTGTGCTCAACCCCAACCACAGGGGGACACAGGTTCAGCTGTGTTTTTGCTGGAAATGACAGAGCTTTGTTGGCACACAAGGTTTCACAGCTGGCTGGGAATGAGAAGAATAAAGAAAAAAGGAAAGGCTTGCAGTTGCAACCTCAGTGGCCCAGGGCAATGTTCTGTGCTAAGGAGCAGGTCTCTCTGTGATGCTGGAATGTGAAAACACCTTGTGAACTCCAAAGCGCCCCCAAATTGAATCTAAGTCAGGATTATTACTCTTCTGATTCTTGGCAGTCATCACCATCCTGAGCAGTTATGATTGCTAATTCCGTCAGCAAAAATAGTAGGAATCTGCTGTTAAAGTATAAACAAACGAGTTTAGTAGGTGACCTTTGAGTGGATGCACTGAAGGGCTTGGGTAGGCCTGCCGTGGAGAAATGCCCTCACCCATGAGACAGCTGGTGCACCTCTGCCAGTGATTATGACAATGGGAGGGGGCGGGGAGGGTGCAGCAAAAGGAGTATGTAAGTACAAGGCATTTTTATTAGGACAGAGGTCCCAAATCACCACTTGACAGCTTTCTGTTCCCTTCTCTCTGCCATCCTTCCATCTTCTAGTTCTGATAGGTGAATACTTCTGTGATGTGGAGGCCCTAGCTGACTACATGGGGCTGTCCCACCATGAGACTCCCTTGTTTTTACATGAAACCCACCAGCTATGGTGAATAGTGCCATGGAACTAAATGCTGCAATCAATTGTGTCTACAATCTGTTTACTTGAATTTGTCTCCACTGTACTTGAACTCTGTGGCTCCTGTTGCCTGGGGTGCTAACTGTACATTAGCTGCATGAGGCCGGAGACATGCAGTTTTATTTCTATTAATGCCAGGAGAGAGAGCAAGTTAAAAGCAGTAACTAAGACAAATGGTGTTGTTATTGGCAGATATTCCTTTTGCCATCGACTAACCTGTTTTGTTTTTCTTTGTGTGGACTTTATTTTCTCGTTTGTTGTTTTCTGAATCTTCTTACTTATGACTTAAAATTTGATGAAAATAGGCAATGAGAGTTTTAGGAAAGAATAAAGATATTCCAGCAGAACTTGGAAGGCATATTAAGCAGGTGAGAGAAGAAAGGCCTGGGGAATTTTCCAAACAGAAAACTTTTATTTCTTAAATATGAGTGAGAACAGTGATATGTGGATTGTGGTTTAGCTGGAAATCTAGCCCTTCAAGTTTTGGACCTTTTATAGCTTTCCCTTGCTACAGTATGCCAGTGTGCTTTTAATTTAGTGGTGGCAGTAGAGAAATTGCAAAACCTCCCCAGCTGAGAACGTGCTTAGGAATCAAATGAGTGTGATAATGAGAATGAATGCGAGTTGCTTTCCCAAAGAAATACAAAAGGAGAGGAGGTTGTAGTAGCATGCATGAAGAGAATGTCCCTTCTTCCCTCCTTCCATCTATACACTTATTATCCATCCATCTATACTGCCATTCATCCACCTGTCCATCCACACATTTGTCTGTCCAGTCATCCGTCCATCTTTCCGTTTGTTCATCTATTCATCCATTTATCCATCCATTCATTCATCTGTCCATCTGTTCATCCATCCATTCATCTATACTGCCATTCAGCCATCCATCCATCCATCTGTCCATCTGTTCTTCCATTCATCCAATCATCCATCCATCCATCCATCCATTCATTTATCTATTCATCTCTCTATCTGTTCATCCATCCATCCTTCTGTTCATCTGTCCATTCACTATGTCATTTTCACTGAACTCCAGTGCTATCGTTCATCCATCCATCTGTCCATATGTTCATCCATCCATTGTTCTGTCCATCTGTCCATTCATTAAGTTATCTTTCACTGAGCTCCATGCCTGTGAAAGGCCCAGAAGTAAGAACTTTAGGGATGCAGAGCCAAATCAGGAGTGTGTGCCTTTCAGGAGCTTAGAGGCAGAGATGAACACAGAACACAAATGACTATAAAATAGAGAAAGCAAAAAGGAATGTGTAGGTGGAATGCTGGGAAAAGCTAGAGGAGGGAAAGTTAGAACTTTGGGAAAAGGGACATTGGGCTTGCACTTAGAGAGTGCACATATGGGGAAAGGCAGGGCAATTTCAGGCAAAAGTGTTTTTGGAATGAGATGATAAATTATTAAGTCAGAGCAGACAACTCACAGCTATATCCTTGTTCATTATTGATCAAGAATAGGACAACTTGAGTAGAAATGAAGGCCATTGATAATCCCAAATTTTATCTACATGTGAGTTTCAGCCTTCTCCATGATGATAAATACAATACTGGACTTCAAAGCCCCCCATTCTCCCTCTTGTTTATGCCCGTTGATAAAGCTGTGAATTAAAGTGAGAATTACCCACAGAGAGGTCAGGGAGCTGGAGAGGAAGGGGAGATGCTGGTGGAGGGAGGCAGTAGGATGTCTGAGTCTTAGGACGGGGTCATCAACTTTGCACAACTGAAAGTTGTTGGGCAGGACTGAACACAGTGACTAATTTTTGCTTTCTTGGCCCTAAGCTGTCCAGTGACAGAGAGATTTGGAAGTCTTGTGGATGGAGAATGGTGCTAATAGTCATAAAACTCCAGGCCAAAATTAAAGTTTGTGGAGTCATGGTAGGGACAATACAGCCAGGACTTGCCTCCACTAGGGAGCCAAATTTAACCCTGAGTGGCAGAAACCCTGATGGATTCTGAGGTGCCAGCTGGTCTACCAGCCAAGGAAGCAGAGCCTGCCCCTGAGGTGTAGCTGCTGACACATGGGTCTGGTAGTATTGGCTGAATCAGGTCGACACAAGCCAGGAAGCTTTGCAGACACTCCTAAAATCAGAACTTGGGGAAATAATGAGAGGCTTGGGAGGCGCTTGATGAGCGGCAGAGGCAACAGCGAGCATTGTCTTTCTTCACCTGGATGGTAATACTGTGTCCTTGAATGGTGTGGGCAGTCAGGTGGAAAAATAAACACAGAGGTACCTTTTGACAGGGAGAAGTCACTGAAAAGTCTCACCAGAAGAATTGAGAACTTCTCAAGAACAGAATAGGTGTATTCTATCTTCAGAGCAATTCAGGCAACCCTGCCCAGAGAATTGGATGGCCAGAGAGGAGGAAGGGGACTGGTGGGGCTTAGTCCTGGCTCTGCCACCTACTGTGAGACCTTAAGCAAGCCAGTTAACATCTCAGAGCCCCGGCTTCCTTATCTTTAAAATAGAGGCTGTAAGGACCGAATAGGAAGGATTAAGTGAGATGCTGTACTGGAGAGCCCTTTATAAAACATGAGTCCAACAAATGTAAGATGTTGTTACTAATAGTCATGCTTGGACATGTTGACATTGTGATTATTATGTCTAATAACAGAGTTGAAAGATGCCAATATTCTTTTAAAAACTTTTTTTTTTTTTTAGAGAACACTAATTAGGAATGACAGATGACATTACCCCTGTAGTGCTCTTTCTCCACTCTTGAGTATGGAAGAAAAGGTTGCCTTTGTGGATAAAGAGATTGGAGACCGGTGTTGGGATCTCTCTTCTCCCTACTGTACTCTTTCCTGGGGATCAGAGCCAAGCAAGACATCACCCTTCAGGAAGATATATTTTCTACACATTGCTGCTTTCCAAATGATTAGAGGGTTTGACCAAGGAGATTTTGTACTTAAATGCAACCTCTTAACGAATTTCTGAGGCGGGTGACAACTGCCTGTGATAGGGTTAGGCAGATGGCACCTGGCCCAAGGTGCCAGGTGAGGAGATGCTTTGCTCATTATGCCTGGGCCATGCCGGGGCCCTGACCTGGAATTGTGTCTGCCTTTTTCTAAATGCTTGAAGGCTCCCTATGGGCCAGAAGTGGCCTTGTGCCCCTTGCTGGGTTATCGGAACTGTGGAGTTTGTAGAATCTAGGGCCTTTCTCCAGGAGCTCCTTTAGCCTTGTGGCCCCAAGCATGGCAGGGTCACACAGTCAGGTTTGAATCATGTAATAGGAAGGTCATTTTCTTTGTTTTTAAAACATTTTTATTTCAGTAGCTTTTGTGTTACAAGTGGATCTTTTGTTACATGGATGAGTTTTATAGTGGTGAATTCTGATATTTTAGTGTACCCATCAGCTGAGTCATGTACATTGTACCTAATATGTAGTTTTTTATCCCTATTCCCTACTCCCAGTCTCCTCCCACTTCTGAGTCTCCAAAGTCCATTATATCAATGTATGCCTTTGAGTACTCATAGCTTAGTTCCTACTTATAAGTGAGAACATACTGTTTTTGGTCTTTCACTGCTGTCTTACTTCAGTTAGAATAATGGCCTCCAGCTCCATCCAAGTTGCTGCAAAGACATTATTTTGTTCCTTTACATGGCAGAGTAGTATTCCATGGTGTATATATGCAATATTTTCTTTAATCAGTGGACACTTGGGTTGGTTCCATATTTTTGCAATTGTGAATTGTGCTGCTATAAACATACATGTACAAGTGTCTTTTTCATATAATGACTCATCTTCCTTTGGGTAGATGCCCAGTAGTGGGATTGCCGGATTGAATGGTAGATCTACTTTTAGCTCTTTAAGGAATCTCCATACTGTTTTCCATAGAGGTTATACTAGTTTACATTTTCACTAGCAGTATGTCATTCCCTTTTTCCCACATCCATACCAACATCAATTGTTTTTTGACTTTTTAGTAATGGCCATTCTTGCTGGAGTAAGGTGGTATCTCATTGTGATTTTAATTTGCATTTCCCTGATGATTGGTGATGTTTAGCATTTTTTCATGTTTGTTGGCCATTTGTATATCTTCTTTTGAGAAATATCTATTCATTTCCTTTGCCCACTTTTTAATAGGATTGTTTGTTTTTTTCTTGCGGATTTGTTTGAGTTTCTTGTAGATTCTGGCTACTAGTCCTTTGTCAGATGCGTAGTTTGCAAATATTTTCTTTCATTCTGTGGATTGTCTGTTTACTCTGGTTATTATTTCTTTTGCTGTACAGAAGCTCTTTAGTTTAATTAAGTCCCATTTATTTATTTTTGTTTTTGTTGCATTTGCTTTTGGGGTCTTAGTCATGAATTCTTTGCCTAGGCTGATGTTTAGAAAAGTTTTTCCAATGTTGTTTTCTAGAATTTTTATGGTTTCAGGTCTTTAAATCTTTCATCCATCTTGAGTTGGTTTTTGTATAAGGTAAGAGGTAAGTATCCAGTTTCATTTTTCCACATGTGGCTTGCCAGTTTTTCCAGCATCATTTACTAAATATGGTGTCCATTCCCCAGTTTATGTTTTTGTATGCCTTGTTGAAGATCAGTTGGCTGTACGTATTTGGCTTTATTTCTGGTTTCTCTATTCTGTTCCATTGGTCTATGTGCCTATTTTTATACCAGTACCATGCTGTTTTGGTAACTACACCCTTGTAGTATAATTTGAGGTCTGGTAATGTTATGCCTCCAGATTTGTTCTTTATGCTGGGCTCTTTTTTGGTACCATATGAATTTTAGGATTGTTTTTTCTAATTCTGTGAAAAATGATTTTGGTATTTTGATGGGCATTGCATAGAATCTGTAGATTGCTTTGGGCAGTGTAGTCATTTTCACAGTATTGATTCCTCCCATCCATGAGCATGGGATATGTTTCTGTTTGTTTATGCTATCTATGATTTCTTTCAGCAGTGTTTTATAGTTCTCCGTAGGGAGATCTTTCACCTCCTTGGTTAAGTATATTTCTAGGTTTTGTTGTTGTTTGCAGCTGTTGTAAAAAAAATTGAGTTCTTGATTTGATTCTCAGCTTGGTCATTGTTGGTGTATAGCAGTGCTACTGATGTGTGTACATTGATTTTGTAACCTGAGACTTTACTGAATTTGTTTATCAAATCTAGAAGTCTTTTGGAAGAGTCTTCAGGGTTTTCTAGATATATGATAATATCATCTGCAAATGGGGATAGTTTGACTTCCTCTTTTCCAATTTGGATGCCCCCTTTCTTTCTCTTGCCTAATTGCTCTTGCTTGGGAAAGTCATTTTCTCTTGTTCTTTGTGGTGAATGGGTGAAACCATAGGATGAATTAAACCTGGTTTACAGAACATTATGTATGTTGATGAAGCTTGATATGAATTATGAATTTTCTTTCCTTGGAATTTGGTAGAATTACCATAACTTCCAAAATTAATCTCCCCATCACTCTCGATATATTTCTGTTAGAATCATGTCTTTTCTGAATTTCTTCTCATGGCTCATGGGGAAAAAATGATGGTATTATTTGGAAATTTTTATTTTTTAATTTGCTTGGGGTTATTTTTTGTTTGCTTCTTGTTTAAATAAAGACCTCAGCACACTGCAAAGTTTTTCTTTTCTTTGGGGGAAGACAGGAGAGAAGGGATACTGATGCCAAGCTACATAATGAGAACTGGCTTTCGTTCCAGTCCTGGCTGGGTATGACCTAACCAAATCATAAGAATTTCCAAATGCCTTGGTTTCTTCCCCCACTTGGCAAAATGAAGGCAGAAGAGTCATAAGCCCATCTCAACTGCATTGTGGAGTGGGTATCAGAGAGAAACACAAGTAAAGTACCCCTTCCTGGAGTACGGTGCATTGATCTTAGGTAGGAGGTGGGGGAAATGTGAGTACGTGTTTACAAATAAAGACCCTGCTAGTGAGAACAGCAGATGCAGTTAGAGTTAGGCTCTGCCTGCTGCTTGTACCCATCAGTGTCCATTGCCTCCTCTTTCCTCATTCATGAAGGGACCTGATTCAGCCTTTACCCTCCCAAGTGCTGTTGTGGGTGGTATCTCGTCCATCTAAAGGAAGTCTGCAGGCCCCTCTAAGAAAGTTTGCTGCCCTACTAGATAAAGCTGGGTATCCATGAAGGGTCACATGGAAATAGATCCTGGAAAGGGAGATAACTGCATTTCCAGACTGATCTTGAGAGAGGAGAAGCAAAGTGCATTTGTGTCTTACTGATCCAGCATCTTTGGAGGAGTGGTAAGTTCTGTGGAAATTAATATTATTATGAGCTATGTTTTAAGCTTTTAAGATACCTTTTTAAAGTAACCATTTTGGATGGGAATCTTTGTAAATATGTATTTTCCTGCCTCCTTAAATATTGGTGTCTTGGGTCTTCATTGTGAACAGTCACTATGAAGTGATTCTAGCAGCCAATGGATGACAGTCACAGCAGCCATTTGCCCATACACCCAATGGCCCCAAGACACTCTGCCTTTGTCACAGCCCTTATGTCTTTGATTCTGTGTTTTGTTTTCCTTTCTCTTCATGGCCATCTGTTAGCTGTCACTTGTCATTGCTTCCTGTGTACCTAGGCTGAGCTCATCTTCATAAGCATTTACTGCATGCCCACTATGTGCCTGATGCCATACTAGATACTGGAATTACAATGGGATGTGGAGGGATGGAGGAAAGTTGAAACTTATGCATTGCAGTCAGTCGGATGTGCCAAAAAGTAAAGATAAGAAATACATGTGCTCTTTACTTCCTGTGGCTTTTCATGTGGCAATGAAACCTCACATCCACAGATGGTGAAAGACCCCTTAAATGTATTTCCCATAAGCTAAATTAGCTGCTTCAGTTAAGGTCTCTTTTTTTTTAAAATAATTGGGCAGATTGATTCCAGGTTCAGACTTTCTATCTGGGTTGTTTCTGCTTCTCAGATGTTCTCCCTTTGCCCTCCTTCTTAAATGGCATCTGGAGTAGAGGAAGCCTCGATGTCCTCATAGCAGTGGGCCAGAGCATCCTGGCCTTGAGTGCTTCTCCTGAGTCCTTGCCCTTTTGTCATCATGCATCCTGCTGGCATTCAGGGCTGGAGTTCACAGCTACTGTGACTCAGTCTTGAGGTCTCTTGGCACAGTCACTGGCAGACTGGTCTCTACCCTCTGAGTCTTGGCCTCACCCTGCATCCTGTACCTGGCCTGGGTGGTCTACCCTGCCATTTAGCTATGAAGCCCCCATCCCTGTCTCCATGGCAGCCTCATGGCTGGACCCTTCCACCCTCAATCTTCAGCTCTATTACATGTCTCTCATTGGATCCTTGCATGCCACATGGAAGTCAAGTGACTCTTGTGAGTGCTCTCTGGGGCCCCTGTTGATCAGAACTCTACACACCACCATTTTCTGTCTACTGGGGACATCTCATGTTGATGTGGAGGCATTTGCATGCTGGTTTCATGCACCCATAATCTCAAAGGGATGCAGAAAACAGCTTTTAGCTTCTTCACTTAACCTCTCTTCTCCTTTTTTCCTCCTTCTTTTCCTCTTTCCTTCCATCCCTCCCTCTCTCCCTTCCTTCTTTTCCTCTTTCCTTCCATCCCCCTCCTTCCTTCCTCCTTCCTTTTTGTCACTCTCCCTCACTCCCTTCACCCTCCGTCATTGTGAGATCAGCCCCTAAGAGAGGAGGAGCAGGAACATGCTCCCCAGCACTGCTCTTCAGCACCTCCTTTCTCTCTTCTTTCAGTCTCTACCTAAAGGCGAAACTGGAAGGGCCGTCTGCTTCCTCTGCCTGTGGAGGCAGGTGCTACCCTTTCTCCATCATATCCTGCTTTCCTCTGTGGCCTTCCTCAGTGCTCTGCTTTTCTTCCTTGGGGAAAGGCTTAGCTGTAATTGTGTAAAGGCTGCAGGGAGCATGATTATAAGGGAATGAAAAACATATCAGTTTAATATTTTCAAAATACCATGCCTGTTGCCTAAGCATAAATAACACATGGTCTCTGTCCATGAAAAGCTTACCCTAGTCAGGGGGTTAGATTCATGACGAATAATTTCAAGATAATTTGGTGAATGCACTGTTCCCATTGCAGTCTTCTGCTCCCCGCCTCGCATGCATATGCACACACACACGTACCTACATGTCAACAGACACACATGCACACACCACACACTCACCATACACACACACACACCCCAGGGCTGCCTACCCTTCTAATCTCCTACCTCATGGCATTTGCCACCTCTTATCTTATATCACAATTATTTGTGTACAGATTTTAGCTTCTAGAGGGCAGGAGCCTTGTCTGTTTTGTAGCACCTGGCACAATGTCCTAAATTCATTAATTGAAAAATCGATGTGTTAGGTCTTTCCTGTGTACCATGCTCTATGCTTGACACTGAAGTTAGATAAATAGGACACGAACTCTTAGAAACTCACAGTCTGCCTCAAGGTTCTCAACAGAATTCAAGAGGTCTGTGAGCTTAGATGAGAAAACAATTTACCTTTTAATTTTACTAATCTCTAACCAAAGTTTAACATTTCCTTTTCTTCTGGAGGTAGGAAATTGACTAGAGTAAGCTGAGCAGTACCTGTGACTCTGTCACCTGTAGGAGTCACAGATATTTTCGTATCGCCCACAGTTGTTATAAATATCTCACAATCTCATATCATCAATTAGTGTTATTACAGGCTAAGCATCTCCAATCCGGAAATCCGAAATCCAAAATGCTCTGAAACCCAAAACTTTTTGAGTGCTGACCTGATGCTCAAAGGAAATGCTCATTGGAGTGTTCTGGGTTTTGGATTTTGGGATTTGGGATGCTCAATCGGTAACTATACTGTAAATATTCCAAAATCTGAAAACATTTGAAGTCTGAAACACTTCTGGTCCCAGGAGTTTTAGATAAGAGATACTCTACCCGTATTAGACCCAAAGTAAACGTTATTTGATGTTTTAATAAAGAAGCACACATACTGCCATATCACAGATCTGTTTAAAAAATATTTTGATAACTATATTTCAGTATAACCAGTTTCCTTCATAATACTATGCTTTTTATTTTATGCATTTAAAAACATTATTTTGAAAGGGTCCATGTGCTTCACCAGATTGCCAAAGGCATCCATGGTTCAAAAAGATTTAGAATACCTGGTTTCATTGGATCCACAAACACATGATTCCAGCAACAAGGTAAGTTCTACGCTAGTGATAGAAACATGGCATTAGAAAGGGACAAAGGAAGAAACACATGCTGCCCAGAGAAGTCAGCAAATTCTCCCCAGAAGAGATGAAGGGCACTGGGTGATGGTGAAGATAATAACAGATATTGATTACTTACCATGGACCAGGCAGAGTTCTCAGTGAGCTACATAGAATATCTCCTTTAAACCTCGTAACAGCCCTGGCCAGTAAGTGCTTTATTATCTCCATTTTATAGATGAGAAAACTGAGACCTAAAGAGGTTCATTGACTTGCCCCAAGTCACACAGCTAGAAATGGACTGAGTCAGGATCGCATGCAGGTCTCTGCATCTGTCTTTGCCGTGTACTGCCTCCCAAAATGCTGAAGAAAAGCAGGAAGGAGCCCTCAGGTCTGGTACCTGAGCCTGGAGTAGGCCTGTCTCTGCTTTTCACTGGCTGTGCAGTGTCAGCGTTTCTTTCAGAGAGTGGGCACGTCTTGTGGAGTAGGGCAATGGCCTGATCAGATGAGAAGCGGGCTGTCACTGAAAAGACACCTGTGAACACTAGGACTCTTTGGTCTGGACAGGTGAGGCATGAGAGAGGTCAGGATTGAAATTCGGAAGATCATGCCACATGTGGAATGAGAGGCTATTAGAATGAGGGTAGTACCTTTGAAACTTGCAAGAAGTAAATCTAGAAAAAACTTAAAGGAAATACCACTTCACACAGAAGGCCAGGTGCAATTTAACTAGTTTCAAAAAGGATTGGGACAAATTTGTGAATGACAGAGTTGTTAGTGGAGCCAGGTCCTCAGCTTGGGGCTTGTGGAGATGAGGCACTGTCCTGGGACGGCCCTTCCTGAGCTCAGGGCATTGAGCAAGAAAACATACTTTTGTAACAGTAGTGCTCTGAGACTCTCAGACTAAAGAGAGGTGTCCCTCTTCCTGTGTGAGCTGCAGGGTACTGGATCCCACAGCTTCCTTTATTTTCTTTTGTAGGAATTCTTTCTGTGTGTCTGCTGCCCCCTTGCTCTGTTCCACTCAAGGAAGATGTTGATGTTAGCAGACAAACCCATTGCCCCCACTTCTGCTACCCGTGTTTAGCCAGATGTCCTTGGGGGCCTCTGTGCAACACCCCGAGAAGCGGAGGGACACAACCACCCAGGGTATGCCTGTGTGGAAGGAGAGCAGCTAGCTCAGGCCCAGAGGGAGCGCCTAGTGTCCTGGTCTTGTTCTACATGCTGAGTGCATTTCAGCTCACAGGCACAGCACTTCTTAAGGACCACCCCATACCCACCTTCCCTCCCCTGATGATGTCGTCACATTACAAACAGAACAGGGCAAATACTGCACTGCTGTCTCTTTTAGATGTGCGATATTTATTGAGATGTTGGGGACAGAGAGAGAGGAGGTAAAAGTTGCTTTTTCTACATTCACCTACTTTTTTTTTAAAGGACAAAAGTGTAACTCCCAGAAGAAATCATTTAACAAAGAAATCTCTCCTGGATGAGCAAGAACAAAGGGAAGCTTCGGGAGGGCTTAGGAGGCGTCCCTGCATCAGGCATTGTGCCAGCTCTTAGGAGCACTTCTAATCCTTATCACAATGCCGTGGGTGTTCACCTGGCTTCGCTGATGAGAAAATGGAGTCATAGGAGGAAAGTAACTTGTCCAGCCAAGACCACCTTCCTAATAAGTGGTACGACTGGATTTGAACCCAGATCTGATTGGCTTCGAGCCCTTGCCTTTTCCACCATCCACCCCTCCTACCAATAGTTCTGCAGTGAAAAAGGTAAGGGAGGGGAAGCATGCTCCTAAGCATTACTTTCTTTGCTAGTTGGAAGTGTCAGTGTGAAACTTTTGATTTCATTGACAAACATAAAGAAACCGTGGATTAAAATTCAGCAAGAAGAAACATGCCCCCAGAAAAGAAGCTGGTCCTATTGAAAGGGCCGCTGTATTCCCTCCTACCTGTGAAAACCAGTCTGTCTTGTGTTTCCTGTTGTCTCATGTTGGTGTGTTGGTGAATTTTCAGTGTGTCCTTTGGGTAGATGAAGATGACCCAGGAGTGGATTAAGGGGGTGTATTGTGAGCAGGTTATTAACCCAGCCTGCTGAGAGGGACAGAGCCTGCTGGACTCGTTCATCTTGTATTAAGAAGGGCAAGCATTTTCTTGTAAATTTGTTTGAGTTCATTGTAGATTCTGGATATTAGCCCTTTGTCAGATGAGTAGGTTGCGAAAATTTTCTCCCATGTTGTAGGTTGCCTGTTCACTCTGATGGTAGTTTCTTTTGCTGTGCAGAAGCTCTTTAGTTTAATTAGATCCCATTTGTCAATTTTGGCTTTTGTTGCCATTGCTTTTGGTGTTTTGGACATGAAGTCCTTGCCCACGCCTATGTCCTGAATGGTAATGCCTAGGTTTTCTTCTAGGGTTTTTATGGTTTTAGGTCTAACATTTAAATCTTTAATCCATCTTGAATTGATTTTTGTATAAGGTGTAAGGAAGGGATCCAGTTTCAGCTTTCTACATATGGCTAGCCAGTTTTCCCAGCACCATTTATTAAATAGGGAATCCTTTCCCCATTGCTTGTTTTTCTCAGGTTTGTCAAAGATCAGATAGTTGTAGATATGCGGCATTATTTCTGAGGGCTCTGTTCTGTTCCATTGATCTATATCTCTGTTTTGGTACCAGTACCATGCTGTTTTGGTTACTGTAGCCTTGTAGTATAGTTTGAAGTCAGGTAGTGTGATGCCTCCAGCTTTGTTCTTTTGGCTTAGGATTGACTTGGCGATGCGGGCTCTTTTTTGGTTCCATATGAACTTTAAAGTAGTTTTTTCCAATTCTGTGAAGAAAGTCATTGGTAGCTTGATGGGGATGGCATTGAATCTGTAAATTACCTTGGGCAGTATGGCCATTTTCACAAACAACCCCATCAAAAAGTGGGCGAAGGACATGAACAGACACTTCTCAAAAGAAGACATTTATGCAGCCAAAAAACACATGAAGAAATGCTCATCATCACTGGCCATCAGAGAAATGCAAATCAAAACCACTATGAGATATCATCTCACACCAGTTAGAATGGCAATCATTAAAAAGTCAGGAAACAACAGGTGCTGGAGAGGATGTGGAGAAATAGGAACACTTTTACACTGTTGGTGGGACTGTAAACTAGTTCAACCATTGTGGAAGTCAGCGTGGCGATTCCTCAGGGATCTAGAACTAGAAATACCATTTGACCCAGCCATCCCATTACTGGGTATATACCCAAAGGACTATAAATCATGCTGCTATAAAGACACATGCACACGTATGTTTATTGCGGCACTATTCACAATAGCAAAGACTTGGAACCAACCCAAATGTCCAACAATGATAGACTGGATTAAGAAAATGTGGCACATATACACCATGGAATACTATACAGCCATAAAAAATGATGAGTTCATGTCCTTTGTAGGGACATGGATGAAATTGGAAACCATCATTCTCAGTAAACTATCGCAAGAACAAAAAACCAAACACCGCATATTCTCACTCATAGGTGGGAATTGAACAATGAGATCACATGGACACAGGAAGGGGAATATCACACTCTGGGGACTGTGGTGGGGTCGGGGGAGGGGGGAGGGATAGCATTGGGAGATATACCTAATGCTAGATGACACGTTGGTGGGTGCAGCGCACCAGCATGGCACATGTATACATATGTAACTAACCTGCACAATGTGCACATGTACCCTAAAACTTAGAGTATAATAAAAAAAAAAAAAAAAAAGAAAAAAAAAAAAAAAAGAAGGGCAAGCATTGACGAGCTCCCAGTGAAGTCAGGGCAACTCAGGGCAGCGAATCTGGAGCAAATGGGCTTCCTGGCCTCATGAGAGACATTGATTTAATAATAATCATAAATATAATAATAAATTTCCTTTTGGGAGTAAAAGAGAAATATGAACTGTTGGCAAAGACCATTTACCCAAGTTTCTTGAGGACTTTCTGAAAGACTAAATGCAATTTCAAAACAAAGTACTTCCAGGACCAGGTTGAGACACAAGAACGTCCAAAGACTCTGCTGCTTGACCTGAAGGCCTTCACCTGTTCCAGGAAAGGGGTCCCAATCCGGACCCCAAAAGAGGGTTCTTGAGTCTCATGCAAGAAAGAATTCAGGGAGAGTCCATAGAGTAAAGTGAAAGCAAGAGGAATAAAAGAATGGCTACTCCATAGACACAGCAGCCAAGAGGGGCGGGTTGCCCATTTTTATGGTTATTTCTTGATTTTATGCTAAATAAGGGGTGGATTATTCATGCTTCCCCTTTTAAGGCCATATAGGATAACTTTCTGATGTTGCCATGGCATTTGTAAACTGTCATGGCACTGGTCGGAGTGTAGCAGTGAGGATGACCAGAGACCACTCTTGTCGTCATCTTGGTTTTGGTGGGTTTTAGCTGGCTTCTTTACTGCCACCTGTTTTATCAGCAAGGTCTTTATGACCTATATCTTGTGCTGACCTCTTATGTCATCCTGTGGCTTACAATGCCTTAACCATCTGGGAATGCAGCCCAGTAGGTTTCAGTCTCATTTTATCCAGCTCCTAGTCAAGATGGAGTTGCTCTGGTTCACATACCTCTGACACTTCCATCAGCCTAACCTCTGGTTGATGATGCCTTTACAAGGTCTGCGCTGCCAGACTCATCGTCATCTCCAAGGCCCCCCTCCTCTCCTAGGTGCCTCTCCTTGCCTCAGACACCCTCTCTTGCCTTCTTTGGCCAACCAGATCCTACAGTTAAGGCCTCTAGGGACGGTTGTGCAGGGAGGCGGAGGGGGCCAGACAGACCTGCATTTGGATCCTGCCCTGTGACCTACTAACTTGGGGACCTTGGGCAAATTACTTGACTTCTCTGAGCCTCTGTCTCCTTGGTTATAAAATGGGTGTGTGAATGTGAGCCCCAGCTCAGCCTCCCTTTTGCCCTCCACTGGGCATGGTTCTGACCTAGTAGTTCCATCCTGGACCTGGCAGAAGTCCTTTTGAATGGGGGAGCATTCTGGGACAGACTCATCTTCAGAGAAGGAGGAGGCAGGTCAACGGGCTTCTCCAGGGGCAGTTGTCAGGGGTGAGGAGAAACGTCCAGTCCTGCTTGGTGTCTGTCCTGGCTTTGTTCCAACCCCCTTCCTCCAGGTTCCCATGTGGCCAGGAGTGTGGAGGAGAGTGGAGAGGAGCTTGAAGACTGAAGGAGCCATTCCTAGCGATAACCCTGTAAGCCATGGGATGCAGCAAGGCAGTATTATTTCGGCACCCCCATCAGAATGCTATAAAAAGGAGAGATATTCTCCCTCACTTCTCCCCAGAAGTGGCTGGCCTTGTGCCAGCAACTGATTTCTGGATAAATGCACCAATGAAGTTTCTCTCCATCCCCATGCCCCTACCTTTTTTGGGTGCTTAAGATTTTCCCAAGTCATTTTGGGTTGCAGCCTCTCTTCTGCCCTGTTATTCTCCTTGCCAGCCCCCGCTGCACCTCTCTGCATCCTTGATCACCTTGGTGCCCTTCCTTGCAGGCTTTGTATGCAGGTCTCACATCTGAGCCACTTTCCATGGGTGGCAGAGCTTCTCAACACTTGTGTGTCCCCTTTTCTTCTAGAGTCACACTATAGAATCAGCCCTGTTTTTCTTTGACCTTTTGAAAACCTGCCATTGTAAATGTAGGCTTCTAAGACAGACTGTATATGTCTAGCATCCCCTTCCCTTGCAATCAAGACTTCTAATCAGCAGTCTCTTCCTCCCAAGGGCTTGTCACTTTAACTTTGATGTCTAATTCTTGAAACTCAGGCTCAGGTGCTGAGGAGCAGCTGCCGTAGTGATCAGATCTGTTCTCTGAGACCAACTTAAAGAGAAATAGCGGAAAAATTTTTTTTTCAGATGAATTTTACCTGGAATTGTAGCCATCTGATGGATTCTTCCTTCTCCCTGCATAGACAAAACCAGACCACGGCAATGCGATAAAGAAAGCGTTTAATAGTCAGAAGGCCAGCTGTGCTACATGGAAGTTGGTGTTATTACTCAAATCAATCTCTCTGAAAATGCAGACGCTAGGGTTTTTCAACGATAGTTTGGCGGGCCAGGGAGTCTGCTTGTGGGTGGGGCCACAGGACCAGTTGGCGGAGTCCGCGGGTCCAGTTGGAGCCATTGGTAGTCAGAAATGCAAAAACCTGAAAAGCCATCTCAAAAGACCAATCTTAGGTTCTGCAATAGTGACGTTATCTGCAGGAGTAATTAGAGAAGTTGAGTAATTAGAGAAGGTATCTTCTGACCTCCAGAATAATGGCTGGTAATGGTTTATGTCTACACTTTAGCAGAATTCAACCTTCTAACGTCCTCCTAACCTGATGGCCCTTCATTAGCTCTGCAAAGGCAGTTAAGCTTTGGGGGAAGACCCGCTATCATTTAAACTATAAACTAAATGTCTCCCAAACATAGCTTGGCTTACACCCAGGAATGAGCAAAGACAGCCAGCCTGTAAGACTAGAAGCAAGATGGGGTCAGCCATGACAGATTTCTTCTACTGTCATCATTTTGCAAAGGTGGTTATAGAACTCTAGTATAGAAAATATAAATTAAGTAGTGGTCTCAGAGCTCCACTCCCTCAGCCTCCTCTTTCCCATCTGAGGCAGAGCCTGAAAGACACAATCTTTGTTCTAGGGGAGAAAATTCTCGGCAGATAGAGATCTCATCAGACACTGTCAGATAAGATTTCTGGAGTGTATTAGTTTGTTTTCATGCTGCTGTTAAAGACATACCTGAGACTGGGCAATTTACAAAAGAAAGAGGTTTAATGGACTCACAGTGCCACATGGCTGGGGAGGCCTCACACTCATGGCAGAAGGTGAAAGGGACGTCTCACATGGTGGTAGACAAGAGAAGAGAGCTCGTGCAAGGAAACTCCCCTTATAAACCATCAGATCTCGTGAGATCTCTTATTCACTATGATGAGAATAGCACGGGAAAGACCCGCCCCCATGATTCAATGACCTCCCACCAGGTCCCTCCCATAACATGTGGGAATTATGGGAGCTACAATCCAAGATGAGATTTGGATGGGGACACAGCCAAACCCTATCATGGAGCCTTTTCAGCTCATCTTCCTATTTTTGAAATCTTTCTGTCCCACTCATGTCTCCCCCAGTCTGTGTGGGTCATGGCATCATCACTGCTCACCAACGAGCATCCTACCCTGAGTCTTAGATGTGACACAAGTTGTAGATCTATGTAACTTTCAGCTCTGTTCCGCCACCCCGCTGAGGTCAGATTTCCGCTCACTGAATGTTTATCCAGGACTTGGTGTGGTATTTCATTCAGTCCTCATTACTCCATGTGTCAGGTATTGTTTTCCCCTTTTGCCAGAGTGAGTTTGGGGAGATGAAAAGGTTTAGTAACAGGCATAAAGTCACAGAACTACGTGATGGTAAAGCTGTTACTGATCCGGACCCCAAGAGAGGATTCTTGGATCTTACACAAGAAAGAATTTGAGGCAAATCCATAGAGTAAAGTGATAGCAAGTTTATTAAGAAAGTAAAGGAATAAAGAATGGCTACTCCATAGGCAGGGCAGTTCTGAGGGCTGCTGTTTGGCTATTTTTTATGGTTATTTCTTGATTATATGCTAAATAAGGGGTGTTATTTGTGAGTTTTCCCGGGAAGGGGTGGGCAATTCCTGGAACTGAGGGTTCCTCTCCTTTTTAGACCATATGGGGTAACTTGCTGATGTTGCCATGGCATTTGTAAGCTGCCGTGGTGCTGGCAGGAGTGTCTTTTAGCATGCTAATTAATGCCTTATAATTAGTGTGTAATGAGCAGTGAGGATGACCAGAGGTCACTTTCATAGCCATCTTGGTTTTGGTGGGTTTTGGCCAGCTTCTTTACAGCATTCTTTTATCAGCAAGGTTTTTGTGACCTTACCTTGTGCTGACCTCCTATCTTATCTGGTGACTTAGAATGTGTAACCTTCTGGGAATACAGTCCAGTAGGTCTCAGCCTTATTTACTCAGCCCCTATTCAAGATGGAGTCACCCTAGTTCAAATGCCTCTGACACTACTACCCCCTCAGGTTTCATAATTTACTAGAACAACTCACAGAACTCAGGAAGATAAAGGATATATAGGATATAAAGGATGCAAATCAGAACCATCCCAAAGAAGACACACATAGGATAAGGTCTGGGAGGGTCCCAAATGCAAATCTTTCATGTCCTCAGAATGCATCACCCTCCTGGTACATCCACGTATATCACTAGACTCACCCAAGCTTTGGTGTCCAGAGTTTCTACCAAGGCTCCATTACATAGGCATGATTGATTAACTCATCAGCCACGTGGTTGGACTCAATCTGCATGCCCCCTCTCCTTGTCAGAGGTCAGACTGAGATCATGTGACTCAAAGTCCCAACCCTCTAATCACATGGTTGATCTTTCTGGCATGGCCAGCCCCCATCCTGAGTCACCTCTTTAGCATAAACTATCTGGAGATCATCAGTCACCTTGTGAGCATAAACTATCAAGGTTCGCCATGAATAATAAGATACTTCTATAAGGAAATTGCAAGGAGTTGGACAAAACTCCGGAAGCAGGGACAAGGCCAGCCAAATTCTTTGTAACATAGTGGAGCTCTATTGACTCTTTGCCCCTTGCCTATTTCCCCAGACTTGCTCTGCTTAGTGTCTTGACTTCTATCAGCAAGTTGCCATGACTTGTTACCAGGTAACATCACTGTGTTCCTACGCTGGAAATGACCTAGGAAACATGCTGGCTTCAGCCTTCCTTTCCTCATCTGCCTCACTGGCTGATGGGTGACACTGTGAGTAGAGAGAGAGAATGTAGGGATTTTCCTTGAATCCTGAATGAGGGAGCCCAGCCTCAGGGCTGTACCTCTGTGATTGCAGTCAAATCTGCTACCCTTGGGCCTCAGTTTAACAATCCAGGTATCCAGGTCATTCTCAAATTGCATTTGAACAGCCTTTTGGAGTTTTCAAAGCACCAGGGATTCTTGCCTCCCAGGTGCTCCACAGCTCTGAGAGATGGACAGGGTAATTCCAAATTCCTCTGTTTTTAGATACGGTCATGAGGCTCTGGAACCTTCTGTACTTTGCCAAAGGTCATGTATCAGTGAGGTGATGGAGCCTGCCTAGCAGCCAGGATTTGGAGCCAGGTGCCCTTTCCCCAGCACCAGCCAGTCTAACCCTATCCCCAGGAGCCCGAGTGAGTGATTTGATACAGATCACTTTTTTTCTGTCCTGCAGAGTTGAGGCCTAGATAGCTTTTAGTTCCCAGCCTGTCCTATTTGCCCACTAATGAGACAAATTGTAGGCTCCATAAAAAATTAAATAGCAGCTGCTTCATTTTCTTCCTATTGAACTTTGAAATGATGACACTCTCATTTGCATGGCTGCTCAAGGTATGAATATCTGGGCCTGCAGGATCCAAGAGTCCTTAAATTTAACCAGAATCATATGTTTTTTCAGATTGGCTGGTGTAAAATATTTTGAGAACCATTCATGAACCGAACCATTAGCTGTGCAAATGGAGCACGTGATTTCTGCTCACCCTGTTGGCTGCTAATTAATAATATCTTCCTGGTGGAGGTACTACCTGCAGGCTTCTCACTGGAATAACATCAAAGAGATGAAATTAGAAAATGAATTGAGTTTAGAGCAAATCAGCAAACAGCTGAATCCTGGAGCGTAAAGTTCTACACTGCTCTCAGCAATGAAAGGACACAGACAGATACAATGCAAGCCCCTGTTTCACCTAAGTTCTCAGTGCAGATTTTTCTGTTTTGTTTTGTTTTCTGCCCTATAATGATAGTACAGTCTGCATTTCGACACTAGAGAAAGGAAGACTTATTTGCTTCTATGTTGTAGAGGTTTGAGGATTTATAATGTTTTGCAAGAAAAACAAACAATAAAAAATCTGAGCCTATTTCTGTATAAACAAGAATCTGTTTGCAATTTTTTTCTTGCACTCATCTTACATGAGTTTATTCCCATATTTGGCTATTCACAAACACCATCTACCTCCGTCACTACTGTAACATGCCACTTAAACCGTAAATTAGGATAGAAATCTGCAGATAAAAAGGGCCAATACCTCCCTGCCCTTTAGTGACTGTGATTGTCATTATTAGTATTATTATCATTATTTTGGAAGCAAAGCTGTTCAGCAGCAGCACAGGCTGCCTGGAGAGCACTTACATCATATGTAGCATTTCCTTTTATCCTCCAGGTAGTGTTCAGGCTAAAACCAGAGAGAAAGATATTTGTTTTGGGAACTGGTGGTATTTCGTCAACCCATTTCTGATTTACTTCCTTTCTTCACAAACCAACTAACTCCATTGACAGCATATTTATAAAACAGTGTTTCGGAAATTAAGTAGCTTCAGATAGGATGTAATGGTTCATTATCAATCCTGAACAGACGACTGCTTTTTCCTCGGCATCCATCTGTGTTATTTCTCTCCTTGTCTCATGGTACCTGCCTAGTGTGAACACCATTTATTTGCAGCACACAGGCTACCTTCTTGGGGAGGAGAGCTATAAAGCACACCTGCACATTCTACATGTCAGCACTGCAGACCTTCAGAGTCTTGGGCATCTCAGAGTGAACGCCACTTCTCAGGCAGGGAGATGATTTAGAGGGGGCACTAAAGGGACATTATGTTATTTGCAGGTACCTCTGTGGAATTTAATACCCACCAAAACACAGCTAGTCCTCTGTGCCACATGCCTCTAGAGGCACCTCACTGCTTCATTTTGAATCTTTGAGACTGTGTCTATAGAGGGCCACATGGGCCATTTCTGACCTACCCTCAATTTAACAGTCTGTGCCATTAGAGTTCATTTTTTTAAATAGCATTTTTTTCTTGATTATGAATGTTCATTGTAGAAAATTGGAAGAAACAGAAATATGTAAGGAAAAATAGAAAAATCACCCATCAACATTCAATCTTAAATAGCATGGTTAATATTTAGGTATATTTGTTTTCATTTTTTTCCATGTGCACACGTCTTTTTTGTGTATTCCCTCAAAAAAGAATCATGCTGTATACACTTTTGTATTGTATTTCTTTTATTGTTGTTGTTTAGTTAACATATATATGGGGAATTGTCCCTTAATCATTAACACTAATAATTAGCAAATCTTCAAAAACATAGTTTCAATGGTTTCTGAATAGACTGTTAGGAATTGTTTTGGCTCAGGTGCCTCATGTACAGGTGCTCCTGAGAAAGTCTGACCATGCTTGGGAATCAGCGTGCTATGAGATTTTATATAAGGCTTTCCAGTGGAGGGATAGCAGGGAGTCCACATCCTTGCTGCAGCCCAAGGTCATAGCATCACAGCTGTGCTTATATAAGAATCACAGCACTGGGTTCAGAGGCTGGTTCTTCCACACAGAGCAGCATCCACATCACTGACCTCTCTGTCTGGTTAAAGGCACTGTCCCAGGGCTGTCCAACTTAGGGAGAGAAATGGCCCTCCAGGACCATGGGACTCAGTAAAAGATAAAATGAGCAGCCCCTTCAGGCCTGCACCTGAAAGTGTCCAGGTCCAGCTTATCACCAATGGGCCATCAGTGAAGCCCACCTGCCAGTCCCAGGCACGCCGTGGTCCTGTCCAGCCACAGTGCTGGAGTTCTTGTGTAGACCAGATGTTAGAACTCAGAGACACAACTCCAGTGGATTTGATGTGGAACCCTGTAAGCACAGAGGTCACACAGGAGAAACCAAATTATCCATGATTTATGAGTGACAAAATAAGATCAGAGAAGTCTCTGCTAGTCAAAGATATGTCAGGATGTTATTAAAAAAGACTAGTCTTCTGGTGGAATGCATCTTGTCCTCAGAAATGCCTTTCATCCAGGCCTCAGGCATTCTAGAATAGCTGCTACCAGGATTCATACCTGTTCACACCAAACTTACACACCAGGATTGATGCTTAGTTTGGAGAATGAGACAAGAAATGTCACCTTCCTGTATTTCTCTAAATTAAATATAATCTAGCCAGCATCTTGGGCACTGCTATAGTGAGAGGGCTCAGGTTGCCCCTTAGGAACTCAGTCCTACTCACGGTAGCCCCTCCCCAGTCCTGAGCACCACTTCAAGCCCAGTGCTCTGACCTGCGAGTAGAACCTAGAGAGGTCCTGTTGTTTCCCTCTTATCCCTGGAGAAGCTCTCCGGGGTCTCTGTCCTCCATTCTGCTTCCCCCAGAAGAAGCTTTCTTCTGCTAACAAAGATAACCAATAATGAATAGGTAGACAGCAGAGTGCGGGTGTAAGTGCACTCCTTTTATCTGCAGCCATTCAAAAGGATGAGGCTGATCCATGTGTAGTGGTGTGCAGATATCTCCAAGATAGTTGGGGTGTGTACTGGGCTACCTCTTTATATTTAATTATGCTACCTCTGTAATTTTACTTTGAATCCCTGTTGGTTTGTTACAGCAAGGTGTTTTTGTTTTTGTTCTATGTCTTACCCTGTTAAGAGATGGTTGATTGGAAGAGGGAGAAAAACAACAACTCTCTTTCTGCATCAGAAGAATAATGTTTCCCCAAATTTTTATAGTCAGAGAATGACATACTCTATACAAGTCTTTTTGGATGAGTTCATATCGTCATCCTTATAAGTAAATCCTTTATGTTTCATCCTTGTTTAGAGGGAATTCTTCATATTTCATGGTCTTTGTGATTTTCTGGGAGATAACTTTTGGTAGTGGTCTGAAGTACAAGTGCCATCAGGTCAAGATGCCATTCCAGTAGTAGGGGGCAAAGTATTGCAGGCCCACCTCAGAGGATTGTTTTGCTGCCCTCAGAATAGAAGGAAACCCAGATTAGAGATCTGGCTCCCAGGTTCTACTCCCTCTTGTCACTCAGAGCTGTGGGAGCTGGCACAGTTGTTTACATTTTTTGGTCTCAAATTTCTCTACTATAAAATGAGGGAAATTATTTCAGTAAATTCTAAGATTTTTATCCAGCAATAACATTCTGTAATTTTGTTATTCCTGAACAGTTTCAGCTTATATATGCTTATATATTATTTCTTAATGTATTAGGCCATTCTCACATTGTTATAAAGAAATACCTGAGACTGGGTAATTTATAAGGAAAGAGGTTTTATTAGCTTACGGGTCTGCAGGCTGTGTAGGAAGCATGATGCTAGCCTCTGCTGGGCTTCTGGGGAGGCGTCAGGGACCTTACAATCATGGTGGAAGGTGAAGGGGAAGCAGGTGTCTCACATGGTAAGAGCAGGAACAAGAGGGTGGGGGAGGTGCCACACACTTTAAAACAACCACATCTCAAGAGAACTCACTCACTATCACAAGAACAGCACCAAGGGGATGTGCTGAACCATTCATGAGAAATCCAACCCCATGATCCAATCACCTCCCACCAGGCCCCACCTCCAACACTGAGGATTACAGTTCAACATGAGACTTGGGTGGGGACACAGATCCAAACCATATCACATAGTTTTCAGAATATTCTTATAAAAATCCCATTTGACTTAAATAGCCTTAAAAAAAGATGAAAACACTTTGTATTTAAAATAAATTACTATTTAAGTAAGTTATCCCACTATATTCAGATAAAGGATTTGCTGGCACAAATCCGAATAACTGATCAATAATTAGCTGTTGTTGTCCAAGGACAGCATGGGGGGAAAGAACAGAATTGGTGGCTACCAGAACATCTGGGAAAGTTTTTCATGATAAATTTATAAAGGTGATAGGAGCAAGATTTTCCTCAAGCTAATCTTTAAAAAAAACAAAGTACGACAACAACAACAAAACCCAGAGCCCTAATCTTGTTGCTTGACTAAGCATGTACTGAGGTTCACCTGTCACCAGCACCGTGGATAACCCGGGTAGTGAAAGAACACAGTCTTCTTGCACACACTGTCTGGAGTCAGCCAGCGCTTTCTATTTCCCATAGTATCTTCTGTTTCACATAGTGTCTTGTTCTTCCTCCCCATCTCCAATCCCCCCGCAAAAGTCCCAGTGGCACTTGAGAATCTGCATAGAGATTGAAAACCTCACATGCTATCTGGACTCTAGTTTACAAATGAGCTATGTAAGGGAAGGAATATTCAGTATCACTAAAAAAAGAGTGTTTGAAAGTTGTTACTATTAACAGTTGGATTTTCATAAAGCAACTGTGAGAACTAATCCTATCAAACTGTCATTGATCTCATGGGGTTGTTGTATGGATGAAATGAGATTGTATATGTAAAACGCATTGTAAACTGTGAAGTTGTATCCATGTGGAAAACGTATTTTAGTATTGCACTAAAGCTGTTGCTCACAGAAAAGAAAGGAAATTTGATTTCATAAAAAACAACAAATAGCCATAGGCATGTTGAGATTGCCCCATGCATTGTCTTCTGGGCTGCTTCAGTCTAAGTGCTTGTGCTTTGGGAGGTTTTTTCAAGAAGAGACTGGCTGGATGTGGTGGCTCACGCCTGTAATCCCAGCACTTTGGGAGGCCAAGGAGGGAGCCACCTAGGAGTCAGAGACCAGCCTAGGCAATGTGTTGAGATCCTGTCTCTATAAAAATAAAATAAAAATACTTAAAATAATTTGTAAAAGAAAAGACTATAAACTGTAGAATTTAGAAGTGGAAGGGACACCCCCCCCCAAAAAAAAAAACTCATCCATATGCCTCATTTAGTGATAAGATATTAACACCCAGAAAGATCAAGTTACTTGTCTAGCATCACAGGGTTAGCTAGACAGGTAGCTTTCATTATACTTAATAAGGATGTGCTTTAGAAAAGAGCCACATCTTTGACCATATTAATCAGTTAAAAAATTATCTGGTGGCTTATGCCTGTAATCCCAGCACTTTGGGAGGCCAAGATGGGCAGATCGCTTGTGCTCAGGAGTTCAAGACCAGCTTGGGCAACATGACAAAATTCTGTCTCTACCAAAAACATAAAAAATTATCCAGGCATGGTGGCACACACCTGTAGTCCCAGCTACTCAAGAGGATGAGGTGTGAGGATCGCTTGAGCCTAGGAGGTAGAGGCTGCAGTGAGCTGAGATTGTGCCACTGCACTCCAGCCTGGGTGACAGAGTGAGACCCTATCTCAAAAACAAAAAAATTACCCATGCCTTCTTCAAATGTTTCGACAATTGATAATCTTAAAACTTACAAATGCAAGACTTCCCTGCCACCATCTTCCTGTTGATGAAGTGAATCCTCAGATTTTCCTGATGAGTGGTTTTCTGTGCTTGCTTGATTTTGAATAGATGAAGGTTTATTCTGTTTTCCCATGATATAATACCACAATCTGGAAGAATTTTGTGAAGTTGCTGGGCATGCTTTTATAGAGCAGTTTCATGAGACTGGAGTGAAAATCACATTATGAGTTAGCATTGTTATCAGTTTTATTGGAGCTGAAACTGAGTGAAAGGATTTAGGAATAATTGGGTAATCAAAGCGAATTAAATCAAGAGAGGGGAAAATATCAGTTCTGGCATCAAATGGGGACTGCAATGACTTCCACATCTGTGGTCTTTATCCATTTTAATCAAGTCTAAATTATGCTATTAAGACTTATTTTTGTGACGTTTACTTGTTCAGACATAGCCGACTTTATATTCATCTCTGAATATTTCTTGAAACATTAAAACATTCTCACTATTTCTAGGCAAGAGTTACCTAATTTGATTAGCATCCAAATATTCAGAGTTGATACTGTGTTTACAATCATGAGTGCAGTGTTCAATGTAGTTTCTGGGTAATAGAATCTGCATACTAAGCCTTTAGCCCACATGGATGAATTCTGCATCCCCCAACTCATTCCCATGTCTTCAAAAAACTAGGTTTAAGTGTGCCTTGTTGGTATAAATTTGCTATAATAAATAGTATATCGTGCTATATGGCAGAAGTATGACTATACTAACTAGCCCAGTCTTGCTTTCTGGTTTTCTTTTGTTGTATTTCCCAAGGGGTACTGCTTTTGCAGTGAAAAATCTATTTTGCCTAATAAATGGTAAACAGTAATCAGCTTCCCCTCCCACCTCTTAAATATATGACTGACAATACACTGAATTAAGGAATGACATAGCACTAAATTCACAAACAAGAAAATTAATTTGGGAACCTTTGATTTTCTTTGATGAATTTTTTGTATTGTCTCTTATTGGAAAATTTGTCTTCAGCCTCCTTTTTTGCTCTGAGCTCTTTCCCCATAAATCTTAGAATCCTTGGTGTTCCCATTTGGTGGTTGGGTTTTGCTTTTGCTTAGTCTCATGGGTGCCCAGAAACATGCACTTCCCTGTGCCCAAATCAGGGGGTTCTTTGAAGCTTGATTGCACACCCCCAAAGAGACCAGTGGAGAGCTTCCCTCAGGAGCTGGCTGCTGTCTCTTAGAACAAAGGCCAGAGCTGAGCTGTCTGTGCATGAAAGGCTGCCGGCCCTTAGATTTCCCCTGCAAGCCTGGCTCTTGAAGAAATCACTTTAATTCTCTAGAGGTTTGTGGCTTACCATCAACTGTTTCATAGCTTGACCTTGTGGCCAAGAGAAGGACTCTATTTAGAAATATTTGTTATTGCTCCTAAGTTCAATTGTCATCATCAAAATCATCAAAGACACTTTATTCTAGCAAAAGTTAGGAGAAAGAATAGGCTTGAATATTTTCAGATATTAACATGGCTCTAGGAATTTAGAGAATTGCCTCTGTATGAAGCAATATGTTTTCATTCTTCGGGGAACTGGTTGAATATTAATCACATAGCATATATATATATATATATATATATATATATATATATATATATATATATATATATATATATATATGGAAACCTGAGACACAGAGAGGTTAAGGAACTTACCCAGAGTTACACAGCTAGAGGATGGCAGAGTCGGGATTCAAAGTATACATTCTCACTCTACAACCTGTGCCTATAAGCACCAGCTACATTATTGAAAGTACGTATGTTTTTGAGTATCATGACAAGGTGGAGTGTATTGAAAGTAGTGTTTTTCAAACCTTTTTGACTGTGACCCACTGGAATATACATTGCAAACTAGCCTGTATGCACAAATAAAACTAGTAAAACCACACAAAACAATACTCACCGTTACCATGCAGGGTGTGTATGGACTTTTCTTTTCTGTTCCACTTCATTTCTAAAGGGTGCTGGTCAAGACCCTTAAAATTGATTTCAGGACCTACTATGTAGGGAGACCCCCTGAAACTATTGCTACAGAATAAAAGATGAAATGCTTCTGATTATTGTAAATACAAAATTGCATGCAGGATTGTGTAAAGACAATGCCAGGTTGGACTGCCAGAATGAGCCAACAGCATGTGATGTGCTTCCCCCTGCAGAGAGCCTGTGAACGGACCTGAAGTCAGGGAGGTTTAACATCACCAAGATTCCTATCCCAGAAAAGCAGATGTTCATAGCTCTGGGAATGGAATGCGACCCTTGTGGAGAGCCTATAAACGGACGCATGAGGGGCGCCTGTTCATATGGATAAGACAGGCCTATAAACGCCCTCATCTTGCCACGGCTCTTCTAGGCCTCTTTAGGGTTAAGACATACTCCCTTCTGAGAATTTCTAGTCTAACTGGTTGTCTAGCTTCACATCCTGTTTCTATGGATTGTTTGTAACCAGCTTTTGCTGCAACTGTTACTGCTGATTAATATCTTGCTAATCATAGGTTATAGAAAGACTGTGTTTCTGTTTTAAGGCTCTGTTAGAAATTACTGATGCACACACTATATTGTAAATTCTTATCTCTGTATACTGTACTGCATACAGATGTTATGTTAAAGAATTACTTCATCCCCATGTGACCATCTCACCTCATAATCAAATGACCCTAAATCCCTCACTAACCTTCCCCTGCCCTCACTAAACTTAATAATAAATGCTGGCATATCCAGTACATTGGCGGCTCATGGGACCAGAAGGTGGTGACCCTCCTGGACCCAGCTTTCACTATCTTGTGTATGTCTATTATTTCTCGACCTGCCGATCCACCTGGGAACAAGGAAAGAGCCCCATTGCATTGCGGGCTGCTGGCCAGATCCTGCAATACTACTATAAGGTCACAATTTGCAGGTCAAAAACTATTGAATGTCCTGTAAGGTCACAATTTGCAGGTCAAAAACTATTGAATGTCCTAGATGTAAGCTCACTCTTTGGAAGACTCAGGTTCCCATTGTTGGTTGAATGAATGCCTGTCCGCTCCTTCCCCCAGTGCCCAGCACTGTTTGTTGATGGAGTGAATATATAAACAGATTATAATTTTTCTTTCTTCATATCTATTTTTTAAAATTATTTTCTCTCTTTCCCTTTTCTTTTTAAAAACCAAGAGCTGAAGTTTTCCCAAACAGAGATTGTTTAGGCTGGAACAGAGGTCAAGGAATACTTAATAATGATCTTCTTATGGACATATGTGTTATCAATGATTTTGGGGGTGTTTTTGAGATAGGGTCTTGCTCTGTTGCCCAGGCTTGGGTATAGTGGCACAATCACACCGTAGCTCACTATAGCCTCGAACTCCTGGGCTCAAGTGATCTTCCCACTTCAGCCTCCTGAGTAGCTAGGACTATAGGAGCATACCACCATGCCCAGATAATTTTAATTTTATTTATTTGTTTTTTTAGAGATGTGGTCTTGTTGTGTTGCCGAGGCTGGTCTGAAACTCCTAGACTTAAGCAAAGTGATGAATTTTTATAAAGCAATCACGTTTCCTTATTAATGTTAGTTGTAATTTTCACAGTGTGTCTGTATCTCCTGCTATTTCTAGTGCTTGCTGGTTCTGGGACCTTCTCTTATTCTCCTGGCCCACGCGGGCATCTCCTCCAGAGGCAGGTTAGTTTGGATGTGCTTTTCTTCTGCTCCATCTCTTTGACAGTTGAGGTATTCCCAGGCAGCCCTGGGGTCCGGGTTAGTCAGTCTTTCTAACATTTTCTGGAAAATGTTTGGCAGTCCTTGAGCTACCTATCATTGGGGCAGGGGGCCCTCAGAATGTTTGAGCCTGACCTTGGCTCAGGGTGGATCTCCAGAACATGTAGAACTTCTCTAGACTCAGGCTCAGGAGGAGTCCTCCATCTGTTGTTGGTGCAGGCACACACCTGGAAGCAATGTCAGGATGGACATTGGTGGCAAGGGCACGGACCAGCCTGAAGTACAGTTGTGCTGATGCCTTGGTCTAGATACAATATTAGCTCAAATAGTTGCTGGGCATTTGTCTTACCCTGGATAAGTTAGGCTATCACTGGACATGTTCATTTATGAGTTAAGGTCTGTATTAGTCTGTTCTCACACTGCTATAAAGACATACTTAAGACTGGGTAATTTATAAAGAAAAGAGGTTTAATTGTGCTCATGGTTCTGCAGGCTGTACAGGCTTTTGCTTCTGGGTAGGCCTCAGGAAACTTACAATCATGGTGGAAGGTGAAGGGGAAGCAGGCACATCTTACGTGGCTGGAGCAGGAGGAAGAGAAAGCAAAGGGGAAGGTGCCACACACTTTTAAACAACTTGTGAGAACTGTATCAGGAGACAGCACTAGGGGGATGGTGCTAAACCATTAGAAACCACCCCCATGTTCCAATCATCTCCCACCAGGCCCCACCTCTAACACTGGAGATTACAGTTCAACATGAGATTTTGGGTGGGGACACGGAGCCAAACCATATCAGGTCATTCTAAGAGCAAGGGATTTTGAGATGATGGGAAACTCAAGGTGGTGTAAGGTGAGGTGTGTGTTGGCAGTAAGGAGATGGTTAAAAGGCCCCTCATCAACAGATCCTCAGAAACTGACACGGTTCATTTTAGTTCGTATCCTTTACTAACATGCCCAGATGACTAAACTTTGTCTTTAAAAATAGGCAAGGTTTTTTGAAGTTTTTCCTCTCATGAGACGGAAAGATTCCCTCCTCAGCATAAAGGGTTATTGATGCACAGAGATATTTTAACAGTTGGGTGGTTTACCTGCATTGCTGGTGATGAGAAAAAGGCTGATCTCAGCCTGTGGGAAGCTAGATGAGAATGTTTAGAAGTAAGGGGGGAAAAGCTCTTAAGTGGGTCAAGAAGGGACTTCTTCAAGTTTACCACATCCTTCTCTCTTTATTTTACTGCTGAGGGCAATGTGTACTCCAGTCTCTAGAACTAACTCTGTTTCATGAAACCAATATCTGGCTTAGGTTGTGTTCTCTCCAAGAATACCTTTCATCCCCAGGAATGTGGTACAGACCATGCGGTGGTCAATAGATGTTTGAGAACTGACTGCCTGGATTCTGGGATGTTTTAAGTGACAAGTCAGGATCCCTGGCCCCATCACACTGAGACTGTGTGCTGGGAGGTGTGGGCTTTGGGGGAAACATGAGGATTGTATTCTATTGAATCATTAAATATTCCAGCATTGCTATTTGCTCAGCCCTGTTTTAACAGATATAAGGACTCAAAAACATGTTAAACTGTTCTTTCCCTAAAGAGTTTATATAATATCATGAAGATCTGAGTCATTCACAAACTGAAATATGGTAGGAAAAGGCTAAGTAGAGACAACAGCAAGAACATTGGACTGCAAGTCAGAAGCCTCAGAGTTTAGTCCCAGCCCTGTGATTAGCTGTTAGAGTGATTTTTCAGTTAGAATAACCCCAAAGATTGCTTTTCACACCTTTCATTTTTATGATTCTTTTAAAAGACTTCTTATGTTGTTCACAGCCTCAGTGTCCTCCTCTGGGAGACAAAGGGGTCAAACTAGATGACCTCTAAAATGGCTTTAATGGCAACCATGTGAGACTGATAGTGCTACTGCAGGATGGAGGATGGGCATGCTTTTGGGGTTGGTCTTGATTCCAGTGAGCATTTGCAAATCCGTCTGTTTAAACTTTCACAGGGATGCCCTTTTTCACTAGCCCCAGGACCCTCTCACTAAGTCAGTGCATACAAAATCAATTTTTGTGTGTATATCCTTTTTCTTCCTCCAAAGCCTCATATAGCAGTTTACAGAGAAATGGAAACCCAGCCTTAGTTCTAAATTGATTTGGCTACATTTGATACACTCTTCCTCTCTAGAATATGACTTTTCAGTTATAATAACCCAAAAGATTGCTTTTCACACCTCTTTCATTTTTATGATTCTTTTTAAAGACTTCTTATGTTGCTCACAGTAAAACTGGTAGGTTTCAGCAGGCTCAAAAGTAACCAAACCAGAAGTGTCAAGACCTTATAAAGAAACTGAGGGTGTCTTTGCATGAGAAGAGAGGGGCACTCTCAATCCCTGTTACTCACACAGTTTTTGGTTAGGAGAAAAGAAAGAGGGGATCTCAGCCTTCATTGAGAACCAGAGTCCAAATTACAATACTCCTCCTGATTTGTTCCTGAGGTCACAAATGCTGGGCAGGAAAATGGGTGCCAGTGACGGTGATGCCAGTAATGGAGAGGGTGTGTCAGCCCCAGGGGGTACTGCAGGCCAGGACCCTGCCCCTGGTCTGCTCTGACCCCAGGACCCAGGTGCTTTCCCCACTAGATGACTGCTTACCAGAACTCAGGGATCCAGAGAGAAAGAGCATCCTCTGGGTGGAGGGACATTCAGCATATGTGTCATTCACATTTGTAAAGTACTCTAGTATTTTTAGGAAGACTGTATGAGTCTGGGTTCTCCAGAGAAACAGAACCAGCAGGAGGACAGATAGATAGGTATCTCCTTGGAGACCCAGGAGAGCCAGTAGTATAGTTCCAGCTTAAGTCTAAAGGCCTGAGACCCAGGAGAGCCAATGATGTAATTTCCTGTCTGCTCAAGTCCAAAGGCAGGAGAAGATCCACGTCCTTGAAGACAGTCAGGCAGAGAGAAGAGAATTCTCCCTTACTCAGCTATTTGTTCTATTCAGGCATTGGACAAATTGGATGAGGCCCACCCACCTTAGGGAGGGTAATCTGCTTGTCTCAGTCTACCAATTCAAATGTTCATCTCATCCAGAAACACCCTCACACATACCCCTAGAATCATGTTTGATTGATGTCTGAGTACCCTGTGGCCCAGTCAAACTGGCATATAAAATGAACCATCACAAAGGCTATCTCTTATATATAAGTGCTCCACTCTGAATTAAATTTAGGAAGAACTGCTAAAGGATGCCACTTCTGAGGGCTGATTAAAATGGAATGTTTTCTTCTCCTCCCACTCCCCCCAAAAACAAACATATTGGAATCATTCTGTGAACTCTTTTCTCTTCTCCAAGCTGTGACTACTTAGTTCTCATGCGTGAGCAGAATATGAAGAATGGGGAGGAAATAGGTTTGGACTTTGAGAACACTGGTTCCTAGGATAAGATTATTTGAATGGGCCTGCATGCAAATGATTTTCCACTCTGCTTCCCTAACACCTACACCAGTCCACTCCTTAATGGATATGTTATTTGAGGGGGCTGATCATTGTCATTATGGAAGCACACTAACAGAACAGCTCTTCAGAAAAATGACCCAGGCTGGGAATTGATCTGCTAGGGGATAATTTGAAAAGTAGAATTTAAAGCTCTGGCAGGCCCTAGAAAATTACTGTCTTGCTCAATGGAATTAGTTGTCCAAGATGAAGAATATTTTCTTCTTGTACCATCTCATCTTCTGATGGCTCTCTTTTCACCACTTATTCTTAATTCCCTGTTCTGTGCCGACGGCTGGAGCCCATGGCCGGCAGCATTCCTGATCCTCAATGCTGTCACCGGAACATAAACAGTCAGAGGTTAACTATGCTTACTTGAAAACAGAGGAAGTGCATGGGAATGTTCTTTTAAAGGGAAAGGAATAAGCGCAGAAAGAATACAGAATTAAATTCATGAGGAAATTGTGCAGCTCTCACATTGTAACTTCCATGAAACTCTCATCATTTATTTATCAGTGCAGGAGTCATTTTTCTGATGGATTCAGGGCTGGATCTTCAGTTATCCCTTGAATTGTGTGTCCTTCTCTGAGAGAGAACAGCTTTATGGCAAAGAGTGGGGGATACGACCATCTGAGGGTTCTGTACCTATCATTCAGCTTTCAGCACGCCTTGTTTGTTAGCAGAGGGTGACTGGCCAAAAAGTGTGTGCTGGGGAACTTAGATGTCTCAGTCAAATCCCTCGTGTAGACCTACCTCTGGCCCCCCATACTGGAGAGGGAGGAAGAGGGCTGAAGTGTTTGGAGCTGTGGATTGGGGGAAGTTTGTAAAAAGTAATTAAGGAATATAGTCTACTCAGCTTGGGAGAGGAGAGAAAGGTGAAAGGGTGTTAGGAGAGAGTGTGTCTGTGCTATAGGAGGGCATTTCACATCTCCCTTGTCTGTGGAATTCATAAGCTCCTGGGACTGTCAGTGCCATTGGTGTTGCTGTTTGGTGGGTGGAGATGGTTCCAGATGGGTCCAACAGGGTAGTTGGCATGAGGCTCCATCCATCCATCCATCCATTCATCTATCTGTTTATCCATCCATCCAATCCAACCCATCCATCCATCCATTCATCCATCCATCCATCTAGCGATGCATCCATCCATCCACTTATTCACCCATCCAGCCAGCCATTCATCTATTCATCCATCCATCCACCCATTCATCCATCCATCCATTTATCCATCTATTCATCTACCCATTTATCCATTCACCTAGCCAACCAGCCAGCCATTCATCTATTCATCTGTCCATTTACCCATCTATCCACCCATTCATCCACCTGTCCATCCATCCACCTGTCCATCCATCTATCCATCCATCCATCCATCCCTTGCTTTATCCTTCATTAGCAACACTTGTAGAATGTCCACTTTATACCACACACCATGCCAGATGCTGAGGAGGTGAAGAATAAGACCTACTCTTTCCCTCCAGGAGTTCACAGCCCAGTGAGGGAGACCGCTAAGTAGAGCAGTGATGATGGTCAGAGTGAGGAACACTGAGAGAGGTGAGCCCAGGTTGCCTTGATGAGAAGAGAGGCCTCCTATTCAGACTCTGCAGGGGAGGGAAGGCTCTCTGGAAGAGGCACTATTTCAGCTGTGTCCTGGATGATGAGCATGTTATTGGGAAAACTTTCCGTTGGTAGAGGTTCTGGCATGACTTCCCTTCCTGCTTCAGTAGGAGACAAGTCCTTTGTTCAGGGCCTGGGTCACCTTCCTGCCCACATTCAGGTGGGGACAACTTAACCCCACCTGTCTCTCCGTCACTTGTCCTCATCCACAGGCTTTTATTTTCCAGTGTTTTTCTTCCTGCTGTGTAGAGACACATTCAGATCTCTTTCATCTTAAAATTTTAGTACAACAATAATAAAAACCATCCCTTGGGCCTAGTCCATGAGCAGCTGCCTCCCTATGTTCTTCTGTTCACACTAAGCATCCTGAAAGAGCAGTCCACACATACTGTGTCACCCTTCCCTCTCCACATGTTAGCAGACAGGCTTCCTACCCAGGGACAGTCCTTTCCTGTCCCTGCAGCTGCATGGGCAGTGGTCCCAGTGTTCTCTGTCTTCAGTTAGTGGATGCTTTCAGATCTTTATGTAGTTGACCAATGGGTCACATTGATGTGGCTGTCCATTTCTTCCTTCCTGAAACTGTTTTCCTTGCTTTGGGGACACTGGTCAGGTCTTTCTTCTTGATGGTCCTGGATTTTCCATGCCCTTTATATTAGTCTGTTCTCACACTGCTATAAGGACATACCCGAGGCTTGGTAAATTATAAAGGAAAGAGGTTTAATTGATTCATAGTTCCACAGGACCGGGGTGGCCTCAAGAAACTCACAATCATGGCAGAAGGGAAAGCAAACGCATCCTTCTTCACATGGCGGCAGCAAGGAGAAGTGCAGAGAGAGAAGAAAGTCCCTTATAAAACCATCAGACCTCATGAGAACTCATTCACTATCACAAGAACAGCATGGAGGTAACCACCCCATAATTCAATTACCTCCTACCTGGTCCCTGCCATGACATGGGGATTATGAGAACTACAGTTCAAGTTGAGATTTGGGTGGGGACACAGCCAAACTCTATCATCCTTTCTGGGTGTCCCTTATTTGTGTGTCCTCAGCTGCTCCTCCCTTCACACTGTGCTAGTTCCAGGAGGGCATGCCCACCTGTGCCTTGGACTGCTGCCTATACATGGATGCACAGCACAGGCCATGCAGAACTTCTGGCTCATGCTCCAGCTGATGGCTAGACATCTATACCTGGCATCCCCAAGAATTCAGATTCACCACACTCCACACTGAACTCTTCCCCCTTCTCCCTAGGCCCACTCTTCATCTTGTTCTGTTAATCTGAGCACATGGCACTGCCATCTACCCTGACATTGATGCCAGAACCAGGAAGGTATCCTGGACGCCTCTCTCCTCTCTCACTCCCACTATCACTCCCCCATCCAGGAGGTCACCAGGTTTTGTGACTCTGTGTCCTTAATGTCTGTGTAGCCCTCTCCATTCCACTGTCTTTGCCTTGTTTCTGACTCACCTGGAGTACTGCAGGAGCCTTGAAATTCCACAGTTCTCAAATGCCTGCCCTCAGACAAGTGCTAGACTGGCTGTCCAAGAGCAGCCCCACCCCACCCCACACAGAGAGAGCCAGGCTCAATTGATCTGTCCTTTGATAAAGGTGCCCAATGATCCTGAGGTGCAGCTGGTGTCCTGGGAGCCATTTCAAATGATCTTCCCACCCTTTTCCTGGTCTGTAGCCATCAGTCCTTCACATGGGCACCAGAGAGATCATTCTAAAATGCGAATCTGATCGTAATCACTTCCCTGCTCAAACCTCTCAGTCTTTTTTTTTTTTTTTATACTTTAAGTTCTAGGGTACATGTGCACAAAGTGCAGGTTAGTTACATATGTATACCCTCAGTCTTGACACCCATGCCCCTCTCTCCCACATTGAATCCAAACCCTGAGCTAACACAAAGCTTCCACAGTCTGCCTTCATCTCTTTCCCTTCCTTTATCCCCACAGCCCCACCCCTAGCAGGCACCCTGTCCCCAGCTGGCAGAGCCACCTCTTTCCTGACAGGTGCTGGTCAGCTTCCCACCTCCATACCTTCCGACCTGCACCCACAGCACCCTTCCTCCCTTCTGGCTACTCTTCACAAGGATCCCACTCAAGGCTTTGCAGAGGTTCCCATCCTCTATTATGGCACACTCATCTTGCCCTTCTGTGGCCACCCATTGACTGATACATGTGCCCCACCCCAACATTATGAGAGCTGACACTGGTTCTATTTGACATAGTATGAGAGAGAATGACTTTTACCTATGGATAGCCAGAAACGTCCAGATTACCCAGGTTTCAGGGCTCTGGATATCTGTGCTTCTAGGCCTTCTAAACTATATAAAACCATGAATTCCATTGCTGCTAATGTTTCCACCTCAATAGCATCATGAATATATGTTTCAATATATGTAACAGCAGGCCCTCCCTTATACTTGGCCCTAGCTATGGCTCATGACACTATGTTTGCTTATCTGCCTTCATCCCAGCTATCTGGGCACAAAATGTCTTAGACCTCTTCCTAACCCCAACATCCAGTCAGTTGATAAGGGGAGCCTGGAACCCATGGCTCAGTACCATCGTGAATATATGTTTCAATATTCATGATATTCATAAATATATGTTTCAATATTCATGATGGTATGAAGTGGAAAAACTAGCAGCAATAGAATGGGCATGAGATTGCCCTTCCTTCCAGATGAAAGGAAATGGTTGACATTCATCATTTAGGAACCACTTGATAATTAGAATACTTTCCCCCAAATTAAAAACATGCAGCCATCATTTAATGACTTTCAAATACCCCTCTGCTGGGCTGCAACACAACTTGTATTATTGGGGTATTTAGTCCCAACAGAGTGGCAGCAGGAGGGCTGAGAAGGCTGGATGCTATCTCCTTTGTAAAAGCATCATCAGTTTGGTAAAATATCAGACCTGCTCCTACTTAATAAGTACAAGTGTCAGATGTGGATGCTGTGCCCTCCTCCTTCCTGCCTTCGAATGGCTTTTCCCTCACCCCAATTCTTTGTCACCTCTGCACAAAGTAAGCACTGTAACAATGACTTCTGGACATCCTGCCAGTGCCATGCCTCCTGTGCTGTGTGGCTTTCAGCACAGCAACAGTGGTAGAGGGTCTAGCATCATAAGCCAGGTGGGGAGGGAAGCCAGTGAATCCTACACAAGCACATAAAAGCTGGGGTGGGGGAATTCACCTGCAGCTGAGGAACTTCTGCAAGTGCAGTATGTTAGAGAAAAACAGATATGAGTTCGATATCTGAGCATCCTCCTGGGAACCAGGTAAACCTTGCAAGAGCCCCAATGATACTTACTGTCTCCTAGGTCTGGGTTGAGACTTCCCCATCATATCTTGATGGTGTCCAGCCTGTCCTGGCACCAGCAGGCTGTGCTGGGGGTGGGGATGGATGGGCACACCAGTACACCAGTCCCCATCTACATAGAGTTATGTATATTTGTTGTTGGTACCCATTCAGTAAGGATTTGTCTATTGATTTTGTGAGTAAGAGAATGGAGTAGAATGCCTCTGTAGGGCTCAGGAGTTTCTTGTTCTGGAGTTTGCATTGTTCCCTTTGAGGACACGGTTAAAGCATTATGCACACAGCAGAGCCTCCCTTATCCCTGGCCCTCGCTGTGGCTTATGACATCAGTGTTTGTTTCAGGGATCTGCCTTCATCCAAGCTGTCTGGGCACAAAAATCTCTTAGATCTCTCACTCACCCCAACATCTAGTCAGTTGAAAAGGGGGGCCTGGAACTCAAGTGTCCCAAGTTTGGAGCATTTAGAGTAAGGACATATTAGGAGCATTATGTACACAGCAGACCCTCCCTTATCCTTGGCCCTAGCTGTGGCTCATGATGTCCATTTTTGCTTGTCCGCATTCATCCCAGCTGTCTGGGCACAAAATTTCTTAGGTCTCCTCCTCACTCCAACATCCAGTCAGTTGACAAGGGGAGCCTAGAATCCAAGTGTCCCAGACACCAGCATCCTCCTTGTGTCTCCACTGCTCTCAGCCCATCACCCCTTACCCACACCCTTGCTTGCTCTCCTGCCTGGGCTTCTGGGCTCTCTCTCTTTCAGTCAGTCTCTCAAGCTGCTGTCCTCCAACCTCATTTATTCATTCAGCAAACTGGTATGGAGCACTGAATACAGAAGACACTGTGGTAGATTCTGGGGATGTCAGGATGGAGTCATAGGACTTGTTCTTGGAGGGCGCACAGCCTGGGATGAGAGGCAGCTGTTCTGCAGGTAATTCAGCACACAGCTGTGTTGACGCTACAGCAGTGGAACAAAGTAGGGATGAGGCAGGCGGAGAGTGAAATTAAGAAAGGCAGCCGGGTGGAGGAGAAACTTGGATAGGTCTTGAGGAGTGAATGTTCCCCTGGCAGATAGGGGTAGGGGTAAGAGGAGGAGGAAGGGCATTCCCAGCCACCCCTACCATAGACCCTGGGTTATAACTACATTCCACTTGCTGCTCCCTCAACACACGCTGCCGTCTTCCAGTCCCCAGCCATTCACTGTTCATGCCATTTCTACCGTTAGAAAACCACCCATGCCTCCCTGCACAGAGTTCTGTCTTGAAATTTCACCCCTTCCTCAAGGCCAGGCTCAGATGCCATCTCCTTGAATCCCTCCCACCTACTGTTCCCTCCTCAACTCTCTTCAGCATTTTGTACATCTTTTGTGGCACTTGTCATGTGAAATCCTTTTTGTCTGTTTCCTTCTCCCTCCTCCTGTAACTTCCTTGAAAGGCTAACTTGGCCATTGAACAGAAAACTCTACTCAGTGCTTTTCTGAGCAAAGAGCTAAAAGCAGAGTAGAATGTGCACTAAAATGTCCTTGGCTTTGGTGGTGGGGTAACTGGAGTGTCCAAGGCGTATGACATCATGCAGGGTCTGCCATTTATGTAGGAAGGCCCTTGGCATTGAGAGAACATATTCATAGGCACCTTTTCCTCTCTTTGTTGATGTAGGGTTCGATGACCTTCAAGTGTGTGCTGACCCCGGCATTCCCGAGAATGGCTTCAGGACCCCCAGCGGAGGGGTTTTCTTTGAAGGCTCTGTAGCCCGATTTCACTGCCAAGACGGATTCAAGCTGAAGGGCGCTACAAAGAGACTGTGTTTGAAGCATTTTAATGGAACCCTAGGCTGGATCCCAAGTGATAATTCCATCTGTGTGCAAGAAGGTAAAGTGCTTACTTCTCCACGGAAGCCACTCATGTGGTTCAAGTTGCATGGCCACAGGGGTGCAGGGCTGTGTGACAGCTCAATACCCTGGGCTCTTCTCTCTGATGCAGGGCTGCACCTGCATGCTGACCAGAAAGCAGGAGTGGGTAATGAGGGTTGGGATAGAGGGTTAATTAATCTCTGCATTAGAAGTAATAGTCTTTTTTCTCTGTCTCAATTACAATCTAATTTATCACCATTTTTGTCAATGCAGGAGAGCAACTCAGATAACATTACGGGTATTTATTATTAGGCTGCCAACTCAGCACTCATTTTCATGTTACTCAATAAAATGTGCAGTAAATATACTGTGCAAAAACTGTATTTAGTCCTACAGAAGATGTGCATTACTCAGAGGATTAAATCAATTACTACTTATCAGTTCTGTGTTAGATGTGATGCATTTAGGAAAAGAAAGAACTGTGACAAGCAGTGACAGATTAACGAGGTAGACATTTATTTCTAGCAATTATCCCTAAATGTATTGGTAGTGACAAGATATTCATTCACTTCTAGCAATTACCCCACATCTGTTGGTTGAAACAACTTTATATACTTTTTTTTGTTTTTACTTTATGTAGATACATTCAGACTTTTTAAAAATGCATGGAGTTTAACCAATTAGAATGTCAAATTGTTGATGATATATCTCAGAAGACCAGCAGGGCTGAAGTTGGAATAGGCATGAATCAAGAATTAATTCTGGTCCCAAATTTCCATGAAGCACAGAACTTATATTTCATTGAGTTCATTTGAAATTAGTTTCAGTTTCTCTTAACACTGATTTTATTTTGGAATGGAGCTTTTATAATAATATGGAAACTATTGTCATGATTTAGTGTATATTTCCTTTATGAAACTTTTTACTTTTTAAATAACTTAATAAGCTTTTTTTTTTTTTTTTTTTTTTGAGACAGTGTCTCCCTCTGTCATCCAGGCTAGAGTGCAGTGGCACAATCTTGGCTCACTGCAACCTCCACTCGGCTCAAGTGATCCTCCCACCTCAATCTCCCAAGTAGTTGGGACTACCTGCGTTCGCCACCATGCCCAGCTAATTTTTGTATTTTTTGTAGAGATGAGGTTTCACCATGTTGCCCAGGTTAGTCTCAAACTCCTGAGCTCATGCAATCCACCTGCCTCAGCTTCCCAAAGTGCTGCGATTACAGGCATGAGCCACGGCACCCGGCCGTGATAAGCATTTTATAAGTGCCTATTTTGCTCCTCCTTCTGGAAATTGTAAAGGATAGATAAGATGGTGTCTTGCTCTTAAAGTACTTGCTATCTTTGCTTTTATTTTCAAGGTATAAGAAAAAGCCATAATAAATATAATAAAGACTTAAGGTTTTTAAAAATAAGTTCATTTTTTCCTCTTGCATGCAGCCTATGCAAGCTGTGGTTTCCCTGAGATTCTATTTAAAGGTTACTTGGTTCATATATATATATATATGTATATAGACTTCCCTGCCAAAACCTATGGCTTATGTTACCCAGTGCTTTAAAAACAGTCAGGCTTAGGAACATCAGAGAACAGAGAAAACCAAAATAGGCTTCTTAAATATTGCCCAGAGATGAAGGCCTTCTGTCAAGCTTCTTTCCAACCCTATACATAACTAGGTACTACGTAGTCATGGCAAGAAAGGGGGTGAGAAATCACCTTAGAGTAGGGGGCTTCTATTGTACTGGTCTGCATGTGTCATTCTTTTTTTTTTCTCTACTTATTTAATGGAATTCATGTACAGTTCTTAACACTCAGCCCCAGATGTGCAGGGAGGGGCTTGTACATAGGCATGGCAGCAGGAAGTCAGCTTTTTTATTAGGCAACCTCAAATAAGACCACGTGTGTCCAAAGGACATTCAGGTCCTTGGATTCCAGTCGTGATGTGCTCCAATCATTTTTGGAAGTTTGGAAGAGCAGATATTACCTTTCTAAGACAATGGTGTATTTATTTTTAATTTGAATGGTAATTTTGTTGGTCTTTGAAAGATCTGTATAAAGAGATTGTTTGTGTTGCCCTGATAGTAGAGAAAGTCATGATTGTTAACACTCTAGGCTTTCTTTATTCTATGTGGTTTATAGGGGGCTGGAGGGAGACCTAGAAGTCTATACCACCGATGTCACATAGCAGTGAAAAAGCTAAACTTTCAGAATGTCTTTTTTCTGCTTTGTAAATAGCCATGCTCCCTGATTAGGATTTATGCTGGGCAAGTAGTAAGGGCTGCTGAATTCATTTGTTATCCTTGCCAGGTAATTCTTAGAAGGCTAATGAATTTCTGGAATGGTGGTAATAATGGTAACAATAATAATTTATCACATTGTTATAGGTCATTAAAGTTTAAAAGTGCTTTCAGATTCACTATTTCATTTAACATGCACAACAATTCTATAAGATGAGTCTTATTGTTTCCTGATTAGGAAACTGAGGTTCAGAGAGGCTCACTCACTTTGTTAAGGTCACACAGTTGATGAGTAAGCAGCCTGGCTGGAATTAATCCTACAACAGCATTGTTTTTCCTCTACAAGGTTGAGTCTAACCTTGTTTATGTCACAACAGCCCCACTCTAATCTGTTACACAAGAGCACCTTGTTACAACAAATGACATCATCCAGGTTTGGAGTTGAAGGAACTCAGAGAAATCACGTAATTCAAGCCCTCATTCCGATTTAGTTTTTGTTTGACCTATAGAGAAACTGAGTCTCAAATAAGGTAAGAGCCTTCCCAGAGTTAAATGACAATTTAGGGAAAGACCTGTTGCAGCCCCCGGGCTTGTCACTGTTACCTGGACTCCTTTCACACCATGGGTCAGTCCTGTCTGAGATGCAGATTTTTTAAAAACTAAGTTCATATCCATTAAAATGCTTTATGACAGTAAAGTGCTCTACAGAAGCAAGGTGGTATTGGGCAGCTGTTCTCTTGGGTGCGCACAGATCCCTTTCTTTTATTCCCACCTCATCCTGCCACATGTACAGCCATTCCCCCTTTTCACATGGCCCCCTTATTCCAATTCAACTTGCTTCTTCCAAGTGAACTAAATTTATAGAGGTCTGAATTTACAGAACTGAATGAATTCACTTTATGGCCCCCAAAGTCTCCAACCTCAGAGATGTCTGTGCTTCTTCAAGCTGCTTCTGCAAGACTGGAGCCTGCATGACCCCAAGCATGGGTGAAAATGTCTATGGCCCAGGGAACAGAGGAGGTGACCTATATGGTGGAGAGGAGACCCTAGAATTGGCAAAGGACTGAAAATACACCCCGTGGGCGCAGGGCTGCTGACCTAGTAAGTACAGTGACTAAAGGCCAGGGTGCTGGCCACCATCTGGCCGCTTCCTTTCCAAAACCAACTCAGTTATGTCTACTTGGGGATACTTTTCCAGAGTAAATATATCCCTTTCCTACATTTCATAAGAAAAGACAGAGGTGAAGCAAGATTGACTTTACCTGAATTCACTTGACAAACACTTACTCAACACATACGTCCTCAGGACATAAAAAATGCTGCATCCTCACTGAAGCTCTTGCTGCAAGGAGTAGCAGTCAGACTTTGTGTGGTGATGAACTTCGGTTTGTACATCATAAAGAATTAGCACATTTAAAAAGTAAACATCTTAAAGAGACTAAAATCAATTCAGGATTCATTTATATTATAAATAAGTATTATATGAGAGAAAGGAGAGAAGAATCAACCCTTGTCTTGCCAAAATCCATTGTCATCATTGATGAAAATATTTCCTTACTTAAGCATCTTTTGGGTTACAGAGTTCATCTCAGCTCTTATGGCATTGGCTATACTAGCCAGATAGGAGTTTTTGGTTTTGTTTCTTATATAGAGAACCAAGTAACTAATTGCACTCAGCTCCTGGTTTGGGTGAGAATCTTACATAGGCTATGAGATAATGTTGTACAGCACCCAAATTCCTCCTCCCTTAGGATTCAGTTCCTGGGAAGGGTGGTGTATTAGTCCATTTCACACTGCTATAAATATACTATCTGAGACGAGGTAATTTATCAAGAAAAGAGGTTTAATTGACTCACAGTTGTGCATGGCTGGGGAGGCCTCAGGAAACTTACACTCATGGCAGAAGGCGAAGGGGAAGCAAAGTACGGCATACATGGTGGCAGGAGAGAGAGAGCACACAGGGAAAACCCCTGCTTTTAAAACCATCAGATCTCATGAGAACTCCCTCACTATCACGAGAACAGCATGAGGGAAACTGCTGCCTTGATCCAATCACCTCCCATCAGGTCCTCCCTCAACACATGGGGATTACAATTCTAGATGAAATTTGGGTGGGAACACAGAGCCAAACCATATGAGGTGGTTATGACATTTTTAAAAGCCAAATCCCTCTAGCAGGAGCTTCAGCACCTGGGTAGATTCAGGGTGTTCCTTGAACACCTTTGGGTATAGACAACATGTTCCTTGTGCAGAAAGACAACTCTCTTTTCTTCTTTGAGTTTCCTCTTTGCAGGGGGAGTGTGCTTTTGGAGACTAAACTGGAGCCTGCTGCAGACTTAAAATTTTATGAAATTAGATTTTAATGTTGAAGGACTTTTTAATAGAGCTTTTCTCTGTAAGGTGGAAGAAGACCCTTTCTCTTTTTATTTAACCATTTTTCTTGAGCAGCTCTGAGAGTAGTCACTGGTTGCATCGGTCACTTGGTTTCAAGTAAACTTCAGGTAAATCCATATTAAGTGAATAAAGTATTTTCATGAAGCTGGAGTCCCATAGGTCTGTCAGATAGCTTGTTTAAGTGAGAGTCTTAAACAAGCAGGTTCTGAGAACACCTTAAAACCACTGTGCAGGGCTCTTCTTAATCCCAGCATAAGGTCCTTAAGAGAACTTACGGGGCCTCCACAGAGCAGCACTTGCTTTTAAAATGAACTGCCTGAGCAGAAGACTTTTTCAGGAAATTCTTCCTCTGTAGTTGGCCAGTCAATTCCTTTGAGTGGGAGAGGAGCAGAGGGGTCAAGCAGAAGGATTGTTGAAACCGCACATTTAATGTACCTTCAAAAGCTACCTCTGGGCTGGGTGCGGTGGCTCACGCCTGTAATCCCAGTTCTTTGACAGGCTGAGGTGGGTGGATCACTGGAGGCCAGGAGTTCGAGACCAGCCTGGCCAGCATGGCGGAACCTTGTCTTTACTAAAAATACAAAAATTAGTCAGGTGTGGTGGCTCGCGCCTATGATCCCAGCTACTCTGAGAAGCCAAGGCATGAGAATTGTTTGAACCCAGGAGGCAGAGGTTGCAGTGAACCGATATCGTGCCACTGTACTCCAGCCTGAGCTACAGAACAAGACTTGCCTCAAAAACAAAAGCAAACAAACAAAGCTACCTCTGTAAGTCGAGCCCATCCCTAGGATGGTTTTCCTTGCTCTGACAGCAGTCACCCACCAATGTAGCCACAGGCTCTGGCTCAAAATCCTGGGTCCAACCTACATCACCCAGAAGAGTGAAGCTTCAAGATATGGCCATGGAGTGGAGGGAAACATGGCTTGTCTTCATGAGATTCACCTAACAACACAAAGAACAAGCTCATCCAACCTTGCGGTGCTTCTCTAGGGAGAGGTTCCTTGATCTGAAAGGGAGATGTAGGCACAAATGACACGCTTGAGACATTCTACATCTGATGGCCAGCCCCAGGCACTCACTCGATGTTATTATTTATTACCTGCATAACCAAGCAGGCAATTCTCATCCATGAAAGGGAGGCCCGATGGCAGCTCCATTTTCCTTGCCTGTCTTCTTTAGTCACTTGGCCATGAGTGTGGTGGAACCCATTGCCTCTGTCTTTCCTGATGCTCCCCACAACCTTTTGACAGGTGGTCTGGTTAAGATTTGCATTTCTCAGGCCAGCTGCGGTGGCTCATGCCTGTAATCCCAGCACTTTGGGAGACTGAGGCAGGTGGATCACCTTGAAGCCAGGAGTTCTAGACCAGCCTGGTCAACATGACGAAACCCTGTCTCTACTGAAAATACAAAAAATTGGCCAGGTGCGGTGGCTCGCGCCTATAATCCCAGCACTTTGGGAGGCCGAGGCAGGTGGATCACGAGGTCAGGAGATTGAGACCATCCTGGCTAACACGGTGAAACCCCATCTCTACTAAAAATACAAAAAATTAGCCAGGCGTGGTGGCAGGCGTCTGTAGTCCCAGCTACTCGGGAGGCTGAGGCAGGAGAATGGCATGAACCCAGGGGGAGGAGCTTGCAGTGAGCCGAGATTGCGCCACTGCACTCCAGCCTGGGCGACAGAGCGAGACTCCATCTCAAAAAAACAAAAAAACAAAAAATTAGCCAGGCATGGTGGTGTACACCTGTAGTCCCAGCTTCTCCCAGGTGGGCCTTTGCCCATGGATATTCACACTGAGTTCCTTCAGCTGATTTTTTCCCCGGACTTTTTGTTTTTAACTTTTATTTTAGGTTCAAGGATACCTGTGCAGGTTTGTTATGTAGATAAACTGGGTGTCTTGGAGGTTTGGTATACAGATTATTTTGTTACATAACAAGCCTAGTACCCCATAGGTAGTTTTTGATCCTCTCCTCTCTCCCGCTCTCCACCCTCAAGTAATTCCCGGTGTGTGTGGTTCCCCACTTTGTGTCCACATGTTATCATTGCTTAGCTCTCACGTGTAAGTGAGAACATGAGGTATTTGTTTTTCTGTTCCTGTGTTAGTTTGCTTGGGATAATGGCCTCCAGCTCCATCCATATTGCTGCAAAGGACATGATCTTGTTCTTTTTTATGGCTGCATAGTATTTCATGGTATATGTGAACCATGTTTTCTGGCCTTTTACTGCTTTTGCTGACATTTGGGTTCCATTGTTAATCATTTACACACAAGGAAAGCACATGGGTACTCTTTCCTTCCACATTTCTGATTGGCTTAGTGCATACCTTATCGTTGCTTTGGCCACAATTAATATTGTCAGTACAGTTGAATCTGAGTTCTCTGTGGGGCATTGTGAATTGAGTTGCCTGTCCAAAGTCATGTATTTTGGGGATGCTGACAAAGATGGACAGGGATTCAGAGAGGCAGCAGTTGAAGGAGAAGGAGGAACGTCGCTACACATCTGTCCAGAACCTGGCCCCATCCCCAGTCACTGAAGGCAAAGCCTCCCTTGGTGTTCCTGCCCACCCCAGCATGTATCCCTCTTCCTGGTCTGCATGTTGCCCTTGTTTTCCTGTCCCCAACAAGACTGCAGTATTTTAAGGAGATGTCTGTCATATGGATTGGGTACCTATGTTTTATTTTTTAAATTGGCATATAATTATACATATTCATGGGATACATAGTGATGTTTTAATACATATATGTGTAATGGTCAGATCAGGGCAATTCACATGTCCATCATCACAAATATCTATTATTTCTTTGTGTTGGGAACATTCAATATCTTCCTTCTTATGATTTGAAACTCTGTAATATATTATTGTTGACCGTAGTTATTTTACAGAGGTATAGAACTCTAGAACTTATTCCTCCTATCTATCTGTGACTTTATATTCTTTAAGAAATCTCTCTCACCCTTTCCCCTACCCTTCCCAGCCTCTAGTAGCCTCTTTTCTACTTTTTACTTCTATGAGATCAGTCTATATTAGCTTCCACATATGAGTGAGAACATGCAGTGTTTAACTTTCTATTCCTGGCTTATTAAAATAAGCCTTAAAATAATGTCCCCCAGTTCCATCCACGTTGCCATCAATGACAAAATTTTATCCTTTTTTATGGATGAATAGTATCCCATGGCATTTATGTACCACAGTTTCGTTACCCATTCATCTATTGTTGAATACCGAGGTTGATTCCATATCTTGGCTATTGTGAATAGTGCTGCAATAAACATGCTCATGCTTTATATACATCATCTTCTTTAATTACTACAGCAACCCTACAAAGTAGGTTCTACAGCCTTATTTTACAGATGAGAAAGTGAAGCCTCTGAGAGGCTGAATTTCCCATGGTCTCCTTGGTAGTGACAGAGTTGGGATTCAAATTTGAGTTTTCTTTCCAGTATGGTCATCTCACCTGACCAAACATGATGTTTCCCAGGCAAGGAGAAGGGAGGGAAGGCAGGTGACACATTATAATGGCCCCAGGCCCATACCCAATTAGGGTTGGATCTCGTTACCAAATCTGTTCATGCAGGGGACTGGTTCTTTTCTTTTTTTATTATTATACTTTAAGTTCTAGGGTACATGTGCGCAATGTGCAGGTTTGTTACATATGTATACATGTGCCATGTTGGTGTGCTGCACCCATTAACTCGTCATTTACATCGGGTATATCTCCTAATGCTTTCCCTCCCCCCTCCCCCTATCCCACAACAGGCCCTGGTGTGTGATGTTTCCCTTCCTGTGTCCACGTGTTCTCATTGTTCAGTTCCCACCTATGAGTGAGAATATGCGGTGTTTGGTTATTTGTTCTTGTGATAGTTTGCTGAGAATGATGGTTTTCAGCTTCATCCATGTCCCTACAAAGGACATGAACTCATCCTTTTTTATGGCTGCGTAGTATTCCATGGTGCATATGTGCCACATTTTCTTAATCCAGTCTATCATTAATGGACATTTGGGTTGGTTCCAAGTCTTTGCTATTGTGAATAGTGCTGCAATAAACATACCTGTGCATGTGCCTTTATAGCAGCATGATTTATAATCCTTTGGGTATATACCCAGTAATGGGATGGCTGGGTCAAATGGTATTTCTAGTTCTAGATCCTTGAGGAATTGCCACACTCACTTCCACAATGGTTGAACTAGTTTACGGTCCCACCAACAGTGTAAAAGTGTTCCTATTTCTCCACATCCTCTCCAGCACCTGTTGTTTCCTGACTTTTTAATGATCACCATTCCAACTGGTGTGAGATGGTATCTCATTGTGGTTTTGATTTGCATTTCTCTGATGGCCAGTGATGATGAGCATTTTTTCATATGTCTGTTGGCTGCATAAATGTCTTCTTTTGAGAAGTATCTGTTCATATCCTTCACCCATTTTTGATGAGGTTGTTTGTTTTTTTCTTGTAAATTTGTTTCATTTATTTGTAGATTCTAGATATTAGCCCTTTGTCAGATGAGTAGATTGCAAAAATTTTCTCCCATTCTGTAGGTTGCCTGTTCACTCTGATGGTAGTTTCTTTTGCTGTGCAGAAGCTCTTTAGTTTAATTAGATCCCATTTGTCAATTTTGACTGTTGTTACCATTGCTTTTGGTGTTTTAGACATGAAGTCCTTGCCCTTGCCTATGTCCTGAATGGTATTGCCTAGGTTTTCTTCTACGGTTTTTATGGTTTTAGGTCTAATATTTAAGTCTTTAATCCATCTTGAATTTAATTTTCATATAAGGTGTAAGGAAGGAAGCTTTCTACATATGGCTAGCCAGTTTTCCCAGCACCATTTGTTAAATACAGAATGCTTTCCCCATTGCTAGTTTTTGTCAGGTTTGTCAAAGATCAGATGGTTGCAGATGTGTGGTATTATTTCTGAGGGCTCTGTTCTGTTCCATTGGTCTATATCTCTGTTTTGGTACCAGTACCATGCTGTTTTGGTTACTGTAGCCTTGTAGTATAGTTTGAAGTCAGGTAGCGTGATGCCTCCAGCTTTGTTCTTTTGGCTTAGGATTGTCTTGGCAATGCAGGCTCTTTTTTGGTTCTATATGAACTTTAAAGTAGTTTTTTCCAATTCTGTGAAGAAAGTCATTGGTAGCTTGATGGGGATGGCATTGAATCTATAAATTACCTTGGGCAGTATGGCCATTTTCACAATATTGATTGTTCCTACCCATGAGCATAGAATGTTCTTCCACTTGTTCATATCCTCTTTTATTTCGTTGAGCAGTGGTTTGTAGTTCTCCTTGAAGAGGTCCTTCACATCCCTTGTAAGTTGGATTCCTAGGTATTTTATTCTTTTTGAAGCAATTGTGAATGGGAGTTCACTCATGATATGGCTCTCTGTTTGTCTGTTATTGGTGTATAAGAATGCTTGTGATTTTTGCATATTGATTTTGTATCCTGAGACTTTGCTGAAGTTGCTTATCAGGTTAAGGAGATTTTGGGCTGAGACGATGGGGTTTTCTAAATATACAATCATGTCATCTGCAAACAGGGACAATTTGACTTCCTCTTTTCCTGATTGAATACCCTTTATTTCTTTCTCCTGCCTGACTGCCCTGGCCAGAACTTCCAACACTATGTTGAATAGGAGTGGTGAGAGAGGGCATCCCTGTCTTGTGCCAGTTTTCAAAGGGAATGCTTCCACTTTTTGCCCATTCAGTATGATATTGGCTGTGGGTTTGTCATAAATAGCTCTTATTATTTTGAGATACATCCCATCAATACCTAATTTATTGAGAGTTTTTAGCATGAAGGGTTGTTGAATTTTGTCAAAGGCCTTTTCCATGTCTATTGAGATAATCATGTGGTTTTTGTCTTTGGTTCTGTTTATATGCTGGATTACGTTTATTGATTTGCGTATGTTGAACCAGCCTTGCATCCTAGGGATGAAGCCCACTTGATCGTGGTGGATAAGCTTTTTGATGTGCTGCTGGATTTGGTTTGCCAGTATTTTATTGAGGATTTTTGCATCGATGTTTATCAGGGATATTGGTCTAAAATTCTCTTTTTTTGTTGTGTCTCTGCCAGGCTTTGGTATCAGGATGATGCTGGCCTCATAAAATGAGTTAGGGAGGATTCCCTCTTTTTCTATTGATTGGAATAGTTTCAGAAGGAATGGTACCAGCTCCTCCTTGTACCTCTAGTAGAATTCGGCTGTGAATCCATCTGGCCCTGAACTCTTTTTGGTTGGTAGGCTATTAATTATTGCCTCAATTTCAGAGCCTGTTATTGGTCTATTCAGGGATTAAACTTCTTCCTGGTTTAGTCTTGGGAGAGTGTATGTGTCGAGGAATTTATCCATTTCTTCTAGATTTTCAAGTTTATTTGCGTAGAGTTGTTTATAGTATTCTCTGATGGTAGTTTGTATTTCTGTGGGATTGGTGGTGATATCCCCTTTATCATTTTTTATTGTGTCTATTTGATTCTTCTCTCTTTTCTTCTTTATTAGTCTTGCTAGCAGTCTATGAATTTTGTTGATCTTTTCAGAAAACCAGCTCCTGTATTCATTGATTTTTTGAAGGGTTTTTTGTGCCTCTATTTCCTTCAGTTCTCCTCTGATCTTAGTTATTTCTTGCCTTCTGCTAGCTTTTGAATGTGTTTGCTCTTGCTTCTCTAGTTCTTTTAATTGTGATGTTAGGGAGTCTATTTTAGATCTTTCCTGCTTTCTTTTGTGGGCACTTAGTGCTATAAATTTCCCTCTACACACTGCTTTAAATGTGTCCCGGAGATTCTGGTATGTTGTGTCTTTGTTCTCATTGGTTTCAAAGAACATCTTTATTTCTGCCTTCATTTCGTTATGTAACTAGTAGTCATTCAGGAGCAGGTTGTTCAGTTTCCATGTAGTTGAGCAGTGTTGAGTGAGTTTCTTAATCCTGAGTTCTAGTTTGATTGCACTGTGGTCTGAGAGATAGTTTGTTATAATTTCTATTCTTTTACATTTGCTGAGGAGTGCTTTACTTCCAACTATGTGGTGAATTTTGGAATAAGTGCGATGTGGTGCTGAAAAGAATGTATATTCTGTTGATTTGGGGTGGAGAGTTCTGTAGATGCCTATTAGGTCCCCTTGGTACAGAGCTGAGTTCAATTCCTGGATATCCTTGTAAACTTTCTGTCTCGTTGGTCTGTGTAATGTTGACAATGGGGTGTTAAAGTCTCCCATTATTATTGTGTGGGAGTCTAAGTCTCTTTGTAGATCTCTAAGGACTTGCTTTATGAATCTGGGTGCTCCTGTATTGCGTGCATGTATATTTAAGATAGTTAGCTCTTCTTGTTGAATTGATCCCTTTACCATTATGTAATGGCCTTCTTTGTCTCTTTTGATCTTTGTTGGTTTAAAGTCTGTTTTATCAGAGACCAGGATTGCAACCCCTGCCTTTTTTTGTTTTCCATTCGCTTGGTAGATCTTCCTCCATCCCTTTATTTTGAGCCTGTGTGTGTATCTGCACGTGAGATGGGTCTCCTGAATACAGTACATTGATGGGTCTTGACTCTTTATCCAATTTGCCAGTCTGTGTCTTTTAATTGGAGCATTTAGCCCATTTACATGTAAGGTTAATATTGTTATGTGTGAATTTGATCCTGTCATTATGATGTTAGCTGGTTATTTTGCTCATTAGTTGATGCAGTTTCTTCCTAGCATCGATGGTCTTTACAATTTTTCATGTTTTAGCTGTGGCTGGTACCGGTTGTTCCTTTCCATGTTTAGTGCTTCCTTCAGGAGCTCTTGTAGGGCAGGCCTGGTGGTGACAAAATCTCTCAGCATTTGCTTGTCTGTAAAGGATTTTATTTCTCCTTCACTTTTGAAGCTTAGTTTGGCTGGATATGAAATTCCGGGTTGAAAATTCTTTTCTTTAAGAATGTTGAATATTGGCCCCCACTCTCTTCTGGCTCATAGTTTCTGCCGAGAGATCCGCTGTTAGTCTGATGGGTTTCCCTTTGTGGGTAACCTAACCTTTCTCTCTGGCTGCCCTTAACATTTTTTCCTTCATTTCAACTTCAGTGAATCTGACAATTATGTGTCTTGGAGTTGCTCTTCTCGAGGAGTATCTTTGTGGCATTCTCTGTATTTCCTGAATTTGAATGTTGGCCTGCCTTGCTAGAATGGGGAAGTTCTCCTGGATAATACCCTGCAGAGTGTTTTCCAACTTGGTTCCATTCTCCCCATCACTTTCAGGTACATCAATCAGATGTAGATTTGGTCTTTGCACATAGTCCCCTATTTCTTGGAGGCTTTGTTCGTTTCTTTAACCCTGTTTTCTCTAACTTCTAACTTTTTCTAAACTTCTCTTCTCACTTCATTTCATTCATTTGATCTTCAGTCACTGATACCCTTTCTTCCAGTTGATCGAATCGGCTACTGAAGCTTGTGCATTTGTCATGTAGTTCTTGTGCCATGGTTTTCAGCAACATCAGGTCATTTAAGGACTTCTCTACACTGGTTATTCTAGTTAGCCATTCATCTAATCTTTTTTCAAGGTTTTTAGCTTCTTTGCATTGGGTTTGAACTTCCTCCTTTAGCTCGGAGAAGTTTGATCGTCTGAAGCCTTCTTCTCTCAACTCGTCAAAGTCATTCTCCATCCAGCTTTGTTCCATTGGTGGCAAGGAGCTGCGTTCCTTTGGAGGGGGAGAGGTGCTCTGATTTTTAGAATTTTCAGCTTTTCTGCTCTGTTTTTTCCCCATCTTTGTGGTTTTATCTACCTTTGGTCTTTGATGATGGTGACGTACAGATGGGGTTTTGGTGTGGATGTCCTTTCTGTTTGTTAGTTTTCCTTCTAACAGTCAGGACCCTTCTAACAGCTACAGGTCTGTTGGAGTTAGCTGGAGGTCTACTCCAGACCCTGTTTGCCTGGGTATCAGCAGTGGAGGCTGCAGAACGGCAAATATTGCTGAACAGCAAATGTTCCTACCTGATCGTTCCTCTGGAAGCTTTGTCTCAGAGGGGTACCCAGCCGTGTGAGGTGTCAGTCTGCCCCTACTCGGGGGGTGCCTCCCAGTTAGGCTACTTGGGGGTCAGGGACCCACTTGAGGAGGCAGTCTGTCCGTTCTCAGATCTCAAACTCCGTGCTGGGAGAACCACAGTACTCTCTTCAAAGCTGTCAGACAGGGACATTTAAGTCTGCAGAGGTTTCTGCTGCCTTTTGTTCAGCTATGCCCTGCCCCAAAAGGTGGAGTCTACAGAGGCAGGCAGGCCTCCTTGAGCAGTGGTGGGCTCCACCCAGTTCGAGCTTCCAGGCTGCTTTGTTTACCTTCTCAAGCCTCAGCAATGGTGGGCACCCCTCCCCCAGCCTCGCTGCTGCCTTGCAGTTCGATCTCAGACTGCTGTGCTAGCAACGAGCAAGGCTCTGTGGGTGTGGGACCCTCCCAGTCATGCGTGGGATATAATCTCCTGGTGTGCCGTTTGCTAAGACCGTTTGAGAAGCGCAGTATTAGGATGGGAGTGACCCAATTTTCCAGGTGCCATCTGTCACCCCTCCCCTTTGCTAGGAAAGGGAATTCCCTGACCCCTTGTGCTTCCTGGGTGAGGTGATGCCTCGCCCTGCTTTGGCTCACACTCGGTGGGCTGCACCCACTGTCCTACCCCCACTGTCTGACAAGCCCCAGTGTGATGAACCTGGTACCTCAGATGGAAATGCAGAAATCTTCTGTCTTCTGCGTCGCTCATGCTGGGAACCATAGACCGGAGCTGTTCCTATTCAGCCATCTTGGAACTCGGGACTGGTTCTTAAAGTATGTGCCAAGGACTACCTGCATCAGAACTTAGGAAAAGTACATATTCAGACCTCCTGCATTAGAATGCTAAGGGTGGGGCCAAGGAATCTGCATTTAAAAAAAAATCTCCCAGCTGATTCTTACACATAAAAATGTTTGAGACTCACTAATTTAGGGATATGGTCTGATATTGCTTTGTAAGAAGGGAGAATAACATAATTTTCTCTAGTGTTCGACAAAGATCCTTAGAGATGTTTAATTCTTAGAATCAGAAATGTCAGTGTTGTCATTTTCCAAATGGAGACACTGAACCATATAAGAGCTTTAGTGACTTATAGAAGTCACACAGCAGGAAAGCTGGGAATTAGACCAGTGTCTTGACTCCTTGTCCAGTGCTCTTTCTATATCCTGGTGGTGTGCAACCCAGGCTGCCTGTCAGGATCACTTGCAGAACTTTTAAAAATAGAAGTGCCTGAGACCCACTTCAAGTGACTCTATTTTAATTGTTCTGGGTAGTGGGAGCCCAGGCATAGGTATTTCAACCTATGCCTGGGCACACCCAGGGACCTCTTTTCAAGGGATCCAAGGTAATTTCAGTGTGCAGCCAGGGATCCCTTCCACCTGTGCTTTTTGTCCCAGGGTCCCTGGTTACCTGATTGTGGCTAAAGGTGGCATAGAGCACAGGAGGAGGAGCTGTTCCTGCCACAGCTCCAGTTTGCTCTGTCTCCATGCTTAACCTTGTCTCGGTTCCTTGCAGAGTGCAAAAAGGAAAAAAAAAAAATATCATCCATTCATCAAGCATTAGTTTTAAGTACTCGCTAAAATATTTTGGCTCCCATAGACCTGACCGGGATTGCTATAAAAGATGAATAATTTGATGTTAAGAAGGTTCTTTGAGCTTCCTGGGGAAAAGGTGCAATATGAGTTTAAGTATTATTATTACGTTATAAATTTTTAATTAAAAGATTCAGCTCAACTCATAAGCTAAAGCTGGCAGTAAAATTGGCAGATAACTCCTTTATTCATTGAAACTGTGGGGTGCAGGCATTTTTCAAAAGCGGGGTGGTCATACTCATGTTTCCAGTTACTTATATGTTAAGTGAGCTGTCTTCTAGCTCCAGAGGCTTCATCAAAACAGATGGATGCTTTAAAAATATTTTATTTGGGATTTTTTTTTTCTCATGTGCATTCTCTATCATCTAAAATTTCTTTCTTATTGCCTTAGATGTGGATTATCAGAAATGACAGCCTGTGCCCACAAGGGCAAGTATTTGCATGTCTTCCCCCAAGATATTCTGTCCTCATTTTCCATCTCCTAAGAAGGGAAGGAGCAGAGGGATGCTTCTACCTGTCCCCAGGACCACTGTCATTTCTTATTTATGCTGCTGTTAACAGAAGCCACTGCTATCCTGTACTTGCTCCCTTGTGGCTTCCATGTGAGTTTAGTTTTTGTTTTCTAAAATATTTATTTAACTTAAATGTGGCCAGACTTGAAAGGGAAAGAAAATCCATAGGAAATAATATCAGGTCAGGTCGAGGCAAATCCTGCAAAGATAAGTGACAGAAGTGATCAGTTATGATGGTTGCAAGATGACAGGTGGACCACCACAGACAAGGGTTCTCAAGCCTGTGCAACCAAGCCCCCAGTAAGTGCAAATCTTGACAGCTGTTACTCCTGAACCAGCTGCCTCATGCGGTCTTGCACACGTGAGTGCTGAGACCTCACTCTTTCTGTACAGGGGCTGTGGAGGTAGGGAGTTGCTCAAAGTCCCAGAATTGTCAGGCAAATGGAGAACAACAACATCATCAGCACATACACAGATCCTTGTCAGAGCCTGTATAAAGGTCGCACAGTGACTGTTAGCAACCCTGAACACCAAACTGACTTGGGGGGATTTCCCCAGAAAGCAGTTTTTCACAAGCTTGCAACTGAAACTATCCAGAATTATGTTGGCTACTTATGAAAAATGCAGACCTACCCCCACTCGGGTCCTTCCAAACCCACTGCAGATGAAATTCATCTTCTCTCATGCCAGTCTTTGAGCAGTTTGGGGGCTGACCGAGGCTTTCAGGCAGCATCCTGTGAGTCCTATTACTGATTCAGATCTCCTTGGCACCCCATGCTGGGTCTGCAAGAGTGTGAGGCCTCGGTGTGCCTTGGTGCCCCAGCTTGCGCGGATTAGGTTCTGTTTTTCTTTATTACATTTGTCTGAGACACCTGCTAAGAGATGGGCCAGCGCTTGTTAAATTCCAAGCCAGCCTTTGAGTTTTGATTGCTATTCTTCAGTCTATTCAGTCACGCAGACTGACCTTGCATAGCCCATCACATGGTGGTTCTCAGTGTTTGACTTCATGGTAATTGCCGGGGGCGGGGGCTGGGAGCCATAAAAAAAGGCACATTTCCAGGCCCCAAGCTCAGATGCTTGTATGCAACAAAGAATCGGAATTTACCAGGCATTTCCAGGTGATTCTCATGTTGTGGAGCCTCAGAGGATTCCTTGAGATGCTTACCATGTGCACTCTATGAGCAGAGCATGAGACATGGGGTAGAACCTCTGGAAGTCATCAGCCCATGAGAAGGGCATTTGACATGCCTTCTTTTATTTTTCTTGTGAGTTCACCTCTGGCCTTAAAGTGCTTTCTGTCACTTCCTTGTTGTTGAACTTTCCAGAAGGTGGAAAGTGACCTTAAAGTTTCTTTAAAGATAAAATAATTAAAATTGGGTTTATTAAGAGAAAAGCAAGAAATCAGGTTAGATTTGCCTTCTAGGACAAAACTCTGAATCAAACCCAGTTTTTCCAACAACCTACATAACCTACATTCAGAGGTCAAATTGTCTTCTGAAAATTTGCTGGCAAATATTTGAGGTTTTATGCTTTTGAGAATTTCAGCACCACCCCCAATATGTTTAGTCGTTCACTCCCCAGAATTCCGTTAAGCACTCTCTACTTGCCAGGCCCAGAGGCTCCAGATGAACTGGGAAAGACAGCTACATAGGCAGTGATGTCCTTGTTCTTCTTTCTGGATTAATTCTATTGTTGTTGTTTTAACTTTTAAAAAATATATGAAATAAAATACATATAGCAGTGTACACAGCACTGAACAGTCAGTATTTTTGGACTCATAGGTTGTTTAGAAAGGTACTACTCAGTTTCCCAAAATATGGAGATTTTCTAACTATTCATTTCTATCTTTATTTCATTGTGGCCAGAAAAAAAAGAGCTCTATGATTTTGTTGTTTTGAAATTTTTTTGAGACTTTCTTTATTGCCCAGGTATGGTCATTTTTTGTAAATGTTCCACGTGTGCTTAGAAGAATGTGTAGCAGTCTCAGTCCCTCCAAGTGAATAGCTAAGAACCCACAAATAATTGCCCTCAATGCGTTAAATATAGAAATGAATGTTTTAAATAATGAAATACGAATCTACTAATTGCCTTTGTCAACCACAAATAAATAAAATATTCCAATCTATGCACCAGACAAAGACACTAAGTACAAGAAGCATGCTTATTATAATAACTTTTCTTTGACCAACTGTTTTTCACGGGGCTTTTTCTCAGTGAGTTTAAGCCAGGGCCTAACTACCTTCAGCTGCAAGCCAAAAGGTCTTAAGTGTCTGGTTCTAGTTCTTCTTCAGGTTTCAAAGAGTCAGTGTCCTTTAAATATGAAAGAAACAACCTGGACCAGCCCTGCTCACAAAGCAAAACTATCCCACATGGTGGTGCCTCCTGTTCTATGAAGCATCCTCTCTCTCCAGTCATCTCTGAAGAGCATTGATTTTTGCCCCTCGTTTTCTCTGCCTTTCGTTAATTGCTGGTGGTCAAATCATTCGTCTCAGTTGGTTTCATTCAGCTTCTTCAGCCCGATCCTGAGTAAATTGTGGTGGTTGGGACAGTGTGCTCTGAGCTGTGCTGGAATGACAGTTCTTTAGAACAGCAGAAGGGTGGAATGGCACTGATATGGAACAGTGCTCCTGAGGGATGTTAGTGGATAGTAAGTGAAAAAAGCATTCTGTGGTACTAAGTTCAGAGTCCCCAAGACCCCCCTCACTTGTGATACCAGCTATAAATCTGGGCTCCCTGAGACCACCATCAGGTTCAAAAATTCACTAGGACTCAGGAACTCAGACTCACAGAACTCAGGAAAACTATTCTACTCATGGCTAAGGCTTTTTACAATGAAAGCACATAGATTAAATCAGCCAAGGGAAGAGGTGCGTAGGGCAGGGTTCAGGAGTCACCAGACATGAGCTTTCAGTTGTTGTCTTCCAGTGGGGCTATATGGACAACACCTCTTTTTTCCAGCAACAATGTATGACAATATACACGAAGTGTTGACAACCAGGGAAACTCACCAAGCTTTAGTGTCCAGAGTTTTAATCAGGGCTTAGTCACGTGGGCATGGCTGACCACAGTGTGGCTGATCTTCTTAGTTCCCTCTCCCTCCAGAAGTTGACCCGATACTGCATGGCCCATGACCCAAAGCTTAAATCACATGTTAGCATGGACTAAAATCCATGTTAGCATGGACCAGATGGCATGGCGAAGGCCCCTGCCATACATCATACTGTTGGCATAATCTGTCTAGCGTGGCCCAGAGCCCCCAGACAAACAAAGACACTCATCTCAAGCCAGACATTCCAGGGGCTAAAGGTTACCTCTCAGGAGCTGAGGGCAAATGCCTAAACCTCTCCTTGGGTAAGTTAATCCTTTACTGTACATATGGGAAACCCTTTGAGGATATAAATCAGATCATGCCTTGGCCCATGCTTAACAAACCCCAGTAACTCCCTATCACACTAAAATAATTCCCTGCCCTAATCTACAAAGCCCTGCATGATCTGGCCTGTCCCTCCCCTTCTTGGTCACTATATTCCAAATACACAGGTCTTCTTTAGTGTTTTTAAGGACACCAAGCTCTTTCCTGGCCTTTGCACTAGCTGTTGCCACTGCCTAACATGTTCTTCTCCAAGACCCATACATAATTAAATTGTTCTTGTCATTCAGATCTCAGCTTAATAAATGTCATTTCCTCAGGGGCCCCTTTCCTATCTACCCAAATTAAAAGAGTTCCTGAGTCAGTCCCTATCATGTCACCTTGCTATGTGTTCATCGTGGCAGTGAGTGTTGCCTGCTACTTTCTAGCACCTTTAGCTGTTAATTTGCCCATTTGCAGTCTTCTCCCATGCAAGTGCTGTAAGAGTAAGGCCCTTGACTCTTTATCCCCAGCACCCAGGACACCCTGAGCCTAGAGTGAGTGCTCTGTAATTCATAAAATGGATGAATGAACAGCTGGATGAATAAACAAGCTTGACAAATGCTGGTTTAAACAAAATTAAGTAGAATTCTTTACAGTAAGACCGTTCGAGCCTTTAATCTACTCTGTGGATTGTGAATCTCTTGAGCGTGTATTATGTATTCATGTTCCTGGGAACAGTTTTGGGGGAGTATTAATGTCAAAACTTGGTGTGTTGAAGGAATTGGATTCATTTTCAAGTATAACTAACTTTTAAAGAACAGTAAATCCTATGTATGGCACATTTTCTTTAAGATTTCTTTTACTGTTACTATTTCTGCTCCATCCCTTAGGCGCTGCTCTCTGCTAACTAATCTGATAAATTAATTTGTACTTGGGTATAAATATGCAATGCTGCCTTAGGATCTTTTACTCCTTCTTTTATTTATTCACTATATTGAATCCCCATTGATACCAGAAGCAGGATATAGAAATAATGACAGTGTTGGGCTGGTGAAAGATGATTTCCAGAATGGAAGGCTTTGATATCCTTCAAGTTACACCCTGAATGGCCTATTTATGCCTCATACACGTAAGTTCTAATTGTTGACCAGATTCAATAGGACAGAAGCAGATTTTGATGAATATTTTTGTAGAGTGCAGTGGTGTGATCTTGGCTCACTGCAACCCCCACCTCCCAGGTTCAAGCGATTCTCCTGCCTCAGCCTCCCGAGTAGCTGGGATTATAGGCATGTGCCACCACGCCTGGCTAAGTTTTATATTTTTAGTAGAGACGGGGTTTCACCATGTTGGCCAGGCTGGTCTCAAACTCCTGACCTCAGGTGATCCACCCACCTCGGCCTCCCAAAGTGTTGGGATTATAGGGGTGAGCCACCTGCCTTCAAAATTCTTTCTATTGACTAGATTAGTTTATGCTATAGAAAATTATGTTATTTCTGTTTGAGACTTCAGAATTGATGGATATTAGACATTTACTGTCAGACACTAAAGATCCTAGATTCTTTTTTTCTGTGGAAAGAAGGTCCATGGTTTTTCACTACTACAGAGAACTCACTGGGCACATACTTTTTTCTAGATACCTTCTTCCTACTTCACCCTCCTTTAGGGGGAGGATCAGATGCCAGACTTTGTGGGTAAAGAAATCATAAAGGCTCTGGTTAATGTTTTCTCTGTCAAGGTTGACTTTTTTGATAGAGCTGATCTGTGTTTGTTTTGTACTCATTCCTAGGGCACTGCCCCTCCTGGCCTCTTCCCCTTGTTGGGATTTGGACCCTACTTCTTACTCCCTAGTTGATATGTGGCTCCTCCCACATAGTAAATTGGCCTGGCATCACTCCCTATGGTGACTCTTCTTTCAGGAGGGCACATCATCACTGGGATTCAGGAAGCTGTGAATTCCCTCTAACCCTGTGTCTTATATTCTGCAATAGTCCCCATGCCATGTTTGGGGAAACTTTAGCTCTAACTAGAAGTTGAAAGCGTTCTACATTACACAACACTATGCTGAGAAATCACTCTTAGAAACAAGGCTTGGGTGCTTCTGCTCCCAGCCAGCCAATGTCCACGTGTCCATAATGCCCAAAGGGACGCTTCTATCCATTGACTTTATTCTCTATAGCTGGTCACCTCCTGAGTATACCAGCTAATTGCTGAACAAGTTTTAAATCAATCATGAAAATAGTTGTTTCAATGTGTAAATTACTGCCGCAGTACCTATTTACAGCCAAGATTTTACAGACGGATGCCTTGATAAATGTGTTTTTATTTGCTGTGAATAATTTCTGTAGAGTGCGATTGAAAAAACGTAATTCACATTTTCTATTAAGGCAGCAGCAGTGTGCAAAGAATTGTCAATGATCTTGTGACCCCAGTTAGGATTATTCTGGGATTGGGGTTGATTCTGGGGAACTCAACTATGCTAGCAGGAAAACTGTTTGTTAAACATGAACAGTTAGAAAACCCCTTTTCAGGCTGGGCGTGGTGGCTTACCCCTGTAATCCCAGCACGTTGGGATGCCAAGGGATCATGAGGTCAGGAGTTCGAGAACATCCTGGCTGATATGGTGAAACTCCATCTCTACTAAAAATACAAAATTAGCTGGGCACAGTGGCATGCACCTGTAGTCCCAGCTGCTCGGGAGGCTGAGGCAGAATAATTTCTTGGACCTGCGAGGTGGAGGTTGCAGTGAGCTGAGATTATGCCACTGCACTCCAGCCTGGGTGACAGAGTGAGACTCTGTCTCAAAAAGGAAAAGAAAACCCCTTTTCGCGGCCTGAAACATAAATATGAAAGGTAAAACCAAAGCCAGAACACAGTTCTTCACCCCAGACTCTCTTTGTTGAAATCATGGGCAAAGGGAAGACCTGATGACAGGTGTCCTCAGGGAAGGCTGAGCTGCAGGGCTGTGCCCCAAGCCTGTTAGCCGTGCTCCAGAGGGCTGTGCCCTCACAGCTTGCTTGGGCAGAGGTTCACAGAACTCCTTTCGGCACTCTTTCGCCAGGTGTGTGCGCAGGTCAGAAGCATGGTGGGAGGGTCAGAGGAAGTGAGCAACACAGTCCCTGCTCTCAAGCTAACGGTGATGACAAAGGCTGAGATAAGGGCAGACCTGGGCTTACAAGCATTTGACTTCAGGTGACCCATGCAGGCAGTGAACAGCCACCACCCCTGCATCCCCAGCTGCCAAGCTCTCCTCTAACTTGGAAGCCCCTGTCTGCCTGAGTCTTTCCCATCATTGACATCCTATTTTCTGAAGTCTGTTGTGCCATACTTCCCATTTCTCCCAGTAAACCCAGCCCCAACCCCACCTCCTAGCTCCTGGATGTGCCCTTTTCCGAGCCACCAAAGTTCCTAGCCACGAGAGTCACCCACTCACCCACTAGCCACAGCATTTCCCTTCTCTTCCACTCACATCAGGGCTTCCAGGGCCAAGTGCCTCAGAGCCGACAGTTCAAAGCTTAGAGCAACTTAAAGGTGAGGGTTCCTGTTAGTACTATTCTGGCCATATTGTGGATTTTGTAGGATTTGGGGAATGGATAAGAGACCTACAATCTTTTAAAGCGTTGAGAAATTTCTGGAGGAAATTTCTATGATTCACAAAATGCTGTTCTTGGTTTTTGCCTTGTTTTAAAAAGTTAAGAATCAACAAATTTGGAACATAACCCATCTGTAGGTCATGCTTACAAACACGTATGCATATAAAACCAGAAACATTAAACAGACATGTGCTCATAAGAGATGGAGAGAGACACATTGCGATCAATGTGCCTTAAACCAGATGGGATGACTTAGGCAGTGTTTAGGGTGGAAGTGGGATCCCAACTTGGCAGCAAGGGGTGGCGTGGCCTGCACAGTGAACTGGAAGTAGATGCAGTTGGAAGTGGGTAATGATCACTTGTTCATTTTATTTGATCTTCTTATCATTTGCTGCATGGCATGGGCTCGTCGTTCCTTCACTGGCATTCTCCTCCCCCAGCCCCCAGCCTTGCCTCTTCTCCTATAAACGTGCCTTTTGCTCTTACTCCATTTTTAGGAGGCAGCACAGTGGCTTGCTCTGAGCCTTTGTGAGATTGGCAGTAGTGTGTGCTGCTCTATCTGTTATCTCTTTTTAAACAGATAAGGTGGACAGGAAATGCTAATGGCAAACACAGCCACAGCTCAACCCCTGTGCTGTTTTGCAAAGCATATTTTCTTATCAGGCTCAGGGCCGGGACCCTTAGACAGAGGTGGCATGGCTGGGCAGCTGTGAGACTAGCCCATCAGGCCACACTGTGTTCTGTTCTGTCCACAAACACAGTAAAGTATGTAACCAGGTAGTTCAGGCTAATCCTCAACACTTCTCTTTTTCCACTTATTTCCAAAATTGTTCATAAGATCAGCTGTACGGTTTGAAGTGTCACAGGCAGGAAATAAAGTTCTTTTTGTGGTTGGATCCCCACGCCCTGGGTCCCTCTTTTTGAGCCACCTTCTCGTTACTCCCGTGAAGCCACCTCTTCTGCTCGTCATTGGCACCTGAGCCTAGTGACAAATGAGGTACCATTTATCAGATTGCTGTGTAGGTTGAGACCAAGTCTGAAAATAAGAGCTTTCTCGTGAAGCTGTGAACCACAACCGTTTTAAAATTCCAAAAATAATGTGTACCTTTTACAAAATTGCAGATTGCCGTATCCCTCAAATCGAAGATGCTGAGATTCATAACAAGACATATAGACATGGAGAGAAGCTAATCATCACTTGTCATGAAGGATTCAAGATCCGGTACCCCGACCTACACAATATGGTTTCATTATGTCGCGATGATGGAACGTGGAATAATCTGCCCATCTGTCAAGGTACGGGACTGATGCTTCAGTTCTCAGCTGGGCTATTATTCTCTCGGACTTTATTGTAGACTGTGTACATGTTTATCTAATAAAGTGATAGAGATGATGGGCGAAATGAACAAAGCCATCTACCCCACATGGATCCAGTTGCATCTTTACTACAATTGCCAAAGCTCTGTTTTTGGACTCTCCATCACCACTCCTTGTAGCTTGCTCAGCTCCATACACCCAGTTTTAAAGGATAAACAGGAAACACCTTATTCCTTGGAATGTTGGATGTCTCTTTTACTCCAAAATATCAAAAGTAGTTTAAGAATCAGGAGACTTGTAACTGAGCTGCTAACATAATGATGAACTATTATATATTTAATGGAAATAACAGAGCATTTGTACTTATTTCAATAGTGGTGAAAATATAGTTAAAGCCAATCTTTAACAGAGGCTGTTTTCTCTTAACAGTGTGTGTGTATATATATATATATATATATATATATATAAAAAATGCATGAAGAGCAGAAAAATTATCAAATTCAAATTTCATCCGAACAAGCTGGTGAATATTTATTCCCTTGCATTTTTTTAGATTTGCCTGGGCCATCATAGAGGGCCCTGTTTGTGAAAATAAACCCTCAAGTTCAGAGTAATTCTGATTTTATTTTTTGACGTGTGACTTCGACCAAAGAACCAAGAAGGCAATGCATAATTCATAATTTGAGGGAGAAGGAGAGCAATCTCATTTGCTCCAAAAGCACCAGCGTGCTCAAGCTGAGATGAATGTTAACTTTGTGCTTGGAAATCACAGCTGGCATACTCTGATATTGCTTTGGGTGCCCTGTTCTTGGAAATAAATAGTTTCCTTACATGAGAGCTTAAAAGTCGTGACCCCTTGAAGGAAGAGAGGCTTGAGCATAAGAAGGACGAAAGCAGCCCGGACCATCACGCTCCCCTGGTCTCTCCCAGGAACTGCCAGTGTTGCTGAGCATGTTCTGTGTTGCATTTTTAAAGGAGACAGGATTTATTTACATTTTCAGGTGTCTACAAAACAAGCAGCTGGCTGTTAAGTTGGGCTGCTTATTCAAATAAACTTTATTACCTGCTGATCCGTTTCAGTCCTCCGACACGATCAGAGTGATGGCCAGGAAAACAACCCCGGACTGCAGCCACTTCTTCCCTTCCTGTTTTCCACATAACCTTTTGTTCTCCCATCCTTTCTGTTTCCTTTTCTGTCACTTAAATACAAGATGCTCCTTTAGGAGTTCTTTTTTCCCCAGTGATTAGAAAAAGAAATACCCTGTGTTGGTGTGCCTCTCAAAGTGTCATTTTGAGGCTTTAGACCCAGGCTTTCCTGCTGCTCTTTCTGGCCACTGTTGCCCCTTCTCCACCTCCCCTTCCTCAAATCCCAGTCAAGACATAGTTTTTCTAGGTCTGCAACAACAGAGCCAGTCGGTTACCCTGCAGAGGTATGCTTCTTTAAACGATGCAAGCCCTGCCCACCTCTCCCTCCTCCTCAGAGGCCTCTGTCCCACAGAGGGGGTGGGTGCCCTGGCCTGTGCCCTACCCTCTAGTGCACCCCACATCTTGCTGCACAGAAAGATAGGTCCTGCCTGCTGGAGCTGCCACTGCTCCAGTGTTGCTCACTGGCTGCTTGCCTGGCACACCATAGGAAATGAGGAACTGAAGTTGCCTTGGACAGTCTGACACCCCTCTGAGCCCCCAGGGGGAATGTAATTGGCCCTAAGAGTGACATTTCATTCTCTAAGTTGTATTTGCACCTATAGATCCAGGAGCTAAAGCCTGAGGAGGCCTCTCTCTATTATCTAGAAGTGCAAATGGAAATCACATTGAACTATTGAGTTGAAGCCCATTTTCGACTGTTACATTTAGGACAGGCTGTCTCTAACCAAGAGTGAGAATATCTTTCCTTCTCCTGTGATTAACTGCATGAATTATAACCTTACTCTGAGTCAGAGTTAGTTTTTATTTGAGAGAAACCAGCTTATCTGTGTGGGTAGTTTAGAACTACAATTCCTTCCTAGGAAGAAGAGCGAGCACAATCATTTGTGCCAACTCATTTGAACTACACTTAAGGGTTCTAAGGCACTCACTTGTTCACGTTAATGTGCTTCTCTTTTTTTCTCAATTATTGAGTCTGTTTATTCCTGATCCCCAACCTCCTCCCCACCACATAAACACACATACACTTCACTTTTACTATAAACATTGTCAGTTTTCAGCTCAAGAAAACAATAATAATAACCTAAGGTTATGGGACTGTCTACAAAGATGGCTGAGCTCCATACCTTTTAGGGTATGGTGCATCCCAAATGTTGGCCAATTCAAAGCTATGATCTGCTTGGTCTGCAGAGCCGCATGGCCCCAGGACACAGCAGTGCAGGATTGGCACTGCCCAACCACGACAGTGAGTGCCTCAAATTCTGCACCCGCCTTACCCTCACCTGCTCTGATGCACAGACACCATATACTGGGGTTTCAACCAAAGCAATTTGCTGAGAGATCCCTTCAAGATACTTACAATGTCCAACAAAGTCAGCTTAGGAGAAGGGTTCAGTCATCTGCTGCTGTGCATGGGACACATACAATCTGTATCTGGTGACTTGGAAGGGAAAGTGGGTATTTTCATTATACATTATTTACTTCACACACAATTAGTTCTCTCCTGGAAGAACACCGGCTCTGCAGTGTCATTATTCTCTCCAGTGAAACTGCTGAAGCAATAAGAAATGCCCTGATCACAGTGGATGCCACACACAACAGAATTCTCTGCCACCAGGAGTGTTCTACTGGCTGCACAGGCTTCAGGGCAAACAGGCTGCTTAGTGTTTCACAGAAGGAGTGTGGGATCCAGGTCCCACTTCCACACTATTGCACACAGCATGCTGTGCTCGATGCACAGACTCAGGACATCAGTGGTTCTGAGTGTGGTCCCGAGCCTGGCAGTGGCAGCAGCAGCAGCAGCAGTGCCTGGATGTTGGCAGTGCAGTTGTCAGGCTCCCTCTGCCCCAGACCTGCTGAAACAGAAGCTCTGCAGGTGGGCCCAGCAGCCTGTGTCTAACAAGCCCTCCGGATCATTCTCGAGTTTGAGAACCACTACACTGTGGGATTCCTCATCTGTTTTACATAAAACACAACTGGGTTTTCAGAAATTTAAGGCCACCATCTCAGGCAGATTTCTGTCCCCAAATCCACTATAGTGGAATTCAGTTTGGAACCTAAGCTTCTGAAGCTGCTCTCACCACCACTGAAACCACTGGCGGTGTCTCTTTCCTCTTACAGCACCTCGGTGATTCTCAACCTGTCCTCAGAGCCTGGGCATGGGGCCCAGGTACTGGTGTTTTATAAAAGCTTCTCAGGTGATGCTGAAACGCAGTCAGAGCCAGAACACGTGGCCTGAGGGTGTACAATCCACAGTCAGACATTCACCACCCTCCCTCTGTCTTAACTACTCCTCTGACCCTCTTGGTGCCATTTTCAAATAGCGGAGCAAATACCTACATGATAACTAGAATAAGGAACCTGAGTATTTGAGACCAAGGTGCTTCATTCTTCAGAGGTGGTGCCATTTTCACCTTCAGAGGTGGGGGAATCCTAAAAAGTTCCAGTGTTCTGTGTGACTTTTCGATGTACAGAGATGACAGAGTGGAATCTTTCCCTTTTTCTTTCACCTTCCACAGGCTGCCTGAGACCTCTAGCCTCTTCTAATGGCTATGTAAACATCTCTGAGCTCCAGACCTCCTTCCCGGTGGGGACTGTGATCTCCTATCGCTGCTTTCCCGGATTTAAACTTGATGGGTCTGCGTATCTTGAGTGCTTACAAAACCTTATCTGGTCGTCCAGCCCACCCCGGTGCCTTGCTCTGGAAGGTAACACATCTCATTCTTTCGGAAGTTGTATTTTGTATTATTAAAGGGAGGAAGAAGATCAGTAGGAGGAAGAGCTGTGAATTATGATGGGCAATAACTTTTCTTCTCTGAATACATCTTTCTCACTTTTCTCCAGAGCAGAGATCAGCTGCCGTGAAGCCATATTTACAATTAGATGTAAAACTTGCTTCCCTCATCCTTAGGCTTAAAGAGGAGAGCAGATAAAAGAAAAAGTTGCGAACATTAAAGGTTAAATTACAAAATATTGCAAAGTTAAATGAAATGTCTTCAAAAATTAATTTTCTCTGCACCAAATGGGAACAGATTGTATCATGTCATTAATCTTACCCCTCGTTTTATTGTTGTGTCGCTGTTTCCTCCATATTTCCATGCACTTTATGGCTTAGCTGTAAATGTTTTGCTGCAAGCACACCCTTGGATGCCTGAAAGCAAGAGCTCTTTCCTCCCTGTTTTTATTAAATCTCTATGACTATAGATTGTGATTCACGAAAGACCACTAATCAGTAGTATGAAGTAGTGAGAAGGACAGGGCTTCCACTGGCGGAGTCAAGGCAGTGTCTGCAGGGGAAAAGCCTGTAAACACTTCTGCTAGGCAAGTTGGACATGCTGGTTCAGCTCTTGCTTTAACTCAGATCTTGAAAGTATGCCCGAAGAGAACAAGCTCCAATGTGTTTCTCAGCATCTGAGTATAGTGGGTAGGAGGGGTCTATATGGGGAAAGAAAAAAGTGAAGAAACCTCAAGTCAGGAGCCGCTTCAAAGCCTATTTGCAGCCTTGTTTGGGAAACAAAGCAAAACAATGGAATATGGAAACAAATGAGTTCTTACAAGTTTACAGCATCTCTACAAGTGTGCACCTCTGTGTGGGAGGAAGTCAGGGTAGGACGTGTGTCATGGAGGGTGACTATTGCTCAGAAGGATCAGAGACGGCCTCTCTAGGGATGTGGAGTGGGGTTGGCTGGAGCCATGGAATCTCTTTGGAGAAGGATGGGGGAAGGAGGGAAGGGAGCCAGAAGGCCAGCCCTTCCCATTGGTTTTGTCATACTCCTAGGCTGATCATTAGAACTCCCCTCACTCCACTTCCCACCCATCGCAAATCCCCCAGGGAATTGGAGCCTAGCCTAGAGATGCCAGATAAAATACAGGATACACAGATAAATTTGAATTTCAGATAAGCAAATAATGTTTTAATATGAGCATGTCGATATATGGGACATACTTAGTATAAAAAATTATTCTTTCCTTATCTGAAATTCAAATATATTAATAACTGAGTGTCTTGAATTTTTATTTCCTAAATCTGGTCGCCCTAGCCTCAAGGGACAAGGTCATCTCTTTTGCTTCCAGTGGGAATAGCCTTCCTGTTATCTGGATGCTGCTGGTAGGCCGTGGACCTCTGATGGAAGGGGCTCTTCCCTAGTTCTGGAGGCTTCTCCCTACTCAGATAACCAGACAGAGAGGGCCCTTTAAAGATATCGTTGTTACGATTTTATCAATTTGAAATGCCTGTTTTCAAATCTTTTCAAATTTGGTTTAAATGTGTTTCAAGCAGTCAGGTTCTGATAAGCTTTATTTTGGGACTTGTAAGCAGTCTTTATGGAGACTAGAGAATATGATTGGATAGGCATAAAACAAAATCTAAGGTTAAAAACAGGGAGCCGAGAGTGGCTTTGGGTTGAAAATGAGTCTTCTGGCCTAACATGTCCCCTTTCCTCTGCCATCCTCCACTATGAGTAGATGGGAAAACCCTGGCTGACAGCTGCCTGTGCCAGGAAGGCCACTTAGCGTCTTTTTTCCCTAGGGTTTTTGTTTTTTTAATAAGGTTTACATCTCCGTTTTCAATAGACATCCCTTTAAATTGTCTGATGGCATTTGTTGGTGAGCACTTTCAATGCAACACTGGCTAAAGGTACAAAGTGGTGATTCTAAACTGAGAGGCACAGAGGGGACTAAAGGATTATTTCTTTCAAGACTTGATAGAAACTGGGTTGAATTAAGCAGTGGGTTAAACTAAGAGGTAAGGATTCGTGAACAAGTTATCCAGATGTGCCTAGAGGTTTGCATTTCTCTCATTCTCACTTTAATTGTGTATCATCTTTTTAAAAGATGGTGCCTTAGTTATGCACTGTTGTCATAGGGTATTCAACATAGACGAACTGTCACAAAGGAATCGACCCTTTTCATAGATCACCCACACTTTTAACTCCTCATCTTTCTGTCTTCCTAAGCACACGATTTGCACAATTTGATTTTTCTTGATGACATAGTGAAAATTATTGCACTGGGCTGTGGAATTATGATGCTCTAAGGGGCTTTTAGATATGTTAGAACTCTCTGACCCCTGCAGTAATGGTGTGGACAGTTCTGCTGTGGAAGTCTTTCTCTTTGAGTTTTCTGTCCCTTTCCCGTTCCTCTTTCACTGTCAATCCATCAGCTGTCAGTGTGCCTGTCACACTCAGGGTACCTGTCGCTGCAGCTGTCCCTCACCCCCAATTTCTTTTCTAACCTGCTGTGAGCCAGGAGGAAGGTTCACCAGGCTGGTCATGGAGGGAGCATAGCATATCAATTACCAGTGCAAGCTGACCTCAGACGGACTGGCTTCACATCCTGGCATCCTACTCAATCACTTCACCTGGGGCAAGTCACATAGCCTCTATCAGCCTCCATTTCTTCCTCTGTAAAATGGGGGTGATGAGTCCTACTTGGCTTGTGGGACTGGGAAGAGTCAGTGAAATAACAAATCCACCCATTTAATGAAGTGCCCAGCCCATAGTATGTGGTCAATCACTTGTCTGTTGTTATTAATGCACTAAGAGTTTTATATAAAATCTCAATAAATAAGAGAGAACCTAGCATGACTCTCTGTGAATACGGTCTCCAGACTTTTAGACATGTACACTGTGACACAATTTTGGTTGTTCAGGTGCTATTTTGGTTATTTGTGTATTCTAAGCTGTGTCTACGTAAGATGACTCAGATACCAAGAGGACATACTGAACAATAAGAACAGCCACCATTAATTTTGAGAGCTTACTACATAGGTGTCAGGCTACTGCTCAAAGTGTTTGACACAGTGTCTCCTTTAATCTTAACTTTTAATGCCATTTGGAAGCAGGTACTATTGACCCCCTTTAGCCACTGAGCAAACCCAGCCTTCTAAAGGTTCAGTAACTTGCTCAGTCACAGCTAGGAAGAGGGGGAGCTGGGACTATAGCATGGATCTTTGTCACTTCAAAGCTCATGTTCTTGATCACCAAGGTACATTGTCTATTTAACATGTTCTGATTACAATCTAACAGGGGGAAAGCAATTTGATACTTTTATAGGCATTTTCTTAAAGCAAAACAATAAAATAATTATTGCATAGAAAAGAGTTTGTCTTTCTAGTTTAGTTATCATCCCTGAGAAATCCCAGCAGCAGAGAGGCTCTGCTGCCCGCTGGGTGGCCGCAAGCTCTTACTGCTGCCGCCCCACAATGCCCGTTAGTCTCCCACGTGGCCATGGAACCCCACTTCAGCCAGTGAGCCAGGCAGAGGTTGTTGGCCTCCTTTTACAGATGAGGACATGACCCCTTGGAGAATGCCATGACTTGTCCTGACCCTTCAACTCTTGGCGCATGGTCTCTGCCGCATGGCACCTCCTCTCCCTAGCGGAGTGGAGAGCACTTTGTGAGGGTCAGTGTTTGAGTGACAGCTGTCACACTGACATGTCAACAATCTCATAGTTGATACCTGGCTTCATGAAGGAGTTGATAATTTGGAAGGAAACGCTTTGGCAGCCTCACCAAAGGTGGCAAGAGTTTGGAAGCCCACTACGAAGATGTGGGTCGCATGTTTTAAGGCCTGCACTATTGCACTCATGGATAGTGGGAAGATTCTGGAGCGTATATGGGTCCCCATAGCTGTGTTGTCAGATAAAGCACCCAAAATTTCAAAGCATTGAACCAGAATGATGGCTGTAATGTTTTAAAATCAATGACTGTATAAAATTGGAGCTGGAAGGAGCTTCCTGCATCCCTGTGTGTCCCTGTGGGCCCTGGCTTGCTGTGGGCCTGTGTGCTTTGCCTTGTCTGCGTGTATCTTAGTGCTTTCCACTCTCGGGTTCTCTTCCTCCCTGAGGCCCTCACCTCCATCTGTCTCTTTCATGTGCGTGCACACACACGCACACATTGAATGCAAGAAATCTTTAAAAACTAAAAAAGCTCTGACAATAAATGTGGGGAATTTCTCATTGTTAAGTGCTAAGAACTCAGTTTATGTTGTCACCAGTGACTATTGAACACCTGCTAGGCCAGAGCAACACCGAATTGGGCACTGGGGAATTACAAAGAAAGGAAAGGACATAATTCCTTCTTTTGAAGAGTTTACAGTCTAGAGGGAGAACAAGATGGCAAAGTCCATTTCCTAGAGAATAGCCTCATTACAGATGGCAGCCACTACACACACAGCTACTTTTACCAAAGGGCACACGGGGGCTTCTGCATTTAGAAAGGGTAGAAGGACAGTTTCAGGAGATGATATCACAATTGTAAAATGAAATTTTCTACCCAGGCATTTATGGCATTTTTGTTTATTTTCCCCAGAGACCAATAGTAGCATGTTTCTGTCTTTTCTGTCTCCACTTGAGCCTTGGGGAAAGAGAAAGTTCTGAACATCTCACTCCTAGGGAAGGACTGTGTATTTTGAAGTGTGGTGGAGCTCATCGGTATAGACGCAGCCTGCCCTAGTGTGTGTGAGAGGCTCCAGCACAGTGGTTTGAAGGGTGGGAATATGGAAGGATATTGAGGAGCATAACAATAAGTAAATGAACCAACCATGTAGCACATAGTTGCAGGGATGGACACAGACACACACGGGGCAGTCTAGGAAGAAGAGGCACTAACTGCCCAGAATCCCCAAGACACTGTGTGCTTGGGGCTGTGAGAGCTGCTGGTTATGAGCGGTTGCAGGAAAGGGCTCTTCTCTACAGGGGATAGGACCACCCACAACCCGTTAGTATCTGGAACATTCTCTTCACATTCAGGTTTTCAGACAGCCTGGAAACAGCACAGAGGTGCTGGGTATCCAGTTATAGAAATTTCTGGGGGCAGCTCTTTCAACAGCAGAGATCACAGCACTGTGCCTCTTTGAGACAGGTTGCAAGGGTCAGAAGAACAGACGATGGAAGCAAAAACTTGGAATTTGGGGTCCTTAATTGTAGCTGCCATCCACTTAAAGATTCCTGTTGCCCTAAGTGCTAAATTAGAGGACTTAGGATCCTGGATCCTTTATCCAGAAGTCCTCCCTTCAACAACACTCTAGATAAAAAGATGGAATCAAGTTTAGAAAGGACCAATCAAACATTTAGGGAGATTAGAGTTTAAAAGAAACCAAAATCAGTGTCATATGCTATTTCACGTAAGTGCCTCTGAGGTGTATGGTTTCATTCAGCCAACATTTTTATGCCTATATGCTGAGTATTTTGCAAGGTCCAGTGCAAACAGTGGCAAATGAGTTGTGCAAAGTCTCTGTCCCCCTGGGGCTCACATAGCATGTGTTGCTATTCCTGAAATTGCACTCTCCACGCAGGCAGAGCTAGGTTCTAAATATTACATTTGTAAGTTATCCAGGGCCTCCCGTGGTAGAGAAGATTGTTACCTACACTGAAGGCCACCTAGAAGGAGTTCTAAGGCAAGGTCTCCATGGTTTCGAAAGAACTGGGAGGGTCAGGCTGGTGAGTCACTCTTTGCTGTGTGGGGTTGGCTCTGAGACGTGATGCCTGGTCTGCTTTCAGAAGGCAGCCGGGTTTTCAGGGAAAGCAGTGAGCATGATCCCAGAGGCCCCAGGGAGTCTGGTCTGCTCATTTGTTTGCTTTTCCGAAACAGGGGAATACATCACTGTAGGATCTGCAGGTACCTAAGGTTTCATTTGTAATGACTTGGGCAGTGGCTTCCCTGATGCTGACAATTTCAAAAGATTTTTTCAGCCTCGTGGCTGCCATTTCTCCCAGGAACCAGTAAACCCGACCCCCTTGGAAGCCGAACATCTGAAAGTTTAGGTTTTTAAATCTGCCCAGTCCCCAAACCCAGAATGCCCCCAGGTGACTCCCCCCAGCCCCATTCATCTCAGAGCCCACATGGACAGAGATGTAGTTTTCATCAGACAGCATCCAATTCAATCACAGGGAATGCAGCAGTGTGATTTCCTAAGAACCTACAAGTGCCCAGGGGTCCTTTCAGCTCTGTATCCTTTTATAAGAAAAGGAGGAAAAATAAGAAACTGAAGAACCTTGTTTGGCCAAATGTGAAATGACTTGAAAGGTTCCAATTTGGGATCAAAACTCAAAGCCAGCTTGGATGTGGAGGGCTCCCCAGCTCTCAAGCTACATTTGCAGTGTACTTTGTTCCTGAGTCAAAACACGTTCAGGTACAAGAGGCGCCTGGTATAAGAGGCGCCTGAAGTGATTTCTCCCTCCAGGAATCCTGCCTTCACTCAGAAGTGCCTCAGAACTTCAAAGTGAATCCTGTGTAGGGAACAGGAAAGACACAGCAGAGAATCCAGGCCTCCTTGGATGACAGAGTCTACCCTGATCCTGGAGGCAGGCTGCAGGGGACACTCAAAGGGGGTGTGATGAGGGCCCACCCTGGGACAGGCTGCTCCCGTTTTACAAATGGAAACTTCAGACATAAAGAGGAGTCCATACCGTTCCCAATAAGGTCGTAAATTACTGTTCATGATGAGGCCCAGTGTCACCTCGGTCACTTCCCCAGACCCGAATCAGGGCCACTCTATTCTCCCTATGGAGTTCCTATCTTCCTCCTGCCACCTGTCCCCAGACATGTGGGGGAGACGCAGGGTCTCTCAGCTCCCTGCCCGGTGATCCACAATAAGAAAGCATGAGCTCGGGTCCATCCTCTGATAAACTTGAAACTATTCTGCATTGGATTTGAAGTAGCACATGGGAAATGACAGAAGAAAGGTCATATTGGGGATTTCATGCCACTGATTTTGAATTACTGGTCATAGAATACAGAGCTTAGGCATCACCAATTTCCCTTTCTCCTAAGCCAACCCACCGTACCCCAGTGTATCCTTGTAGAGATGAATGGGAAGTGCCAGAGAGTAGCAGGCTTGGCCACAGTGGTGGCCTGGGAGCACCAGTCAAGGTCCAGCATCCACCCTGGGCTCTGGCACCATCAGGCTGCCTTGAGTAGGGAAGGCCCATGCCACTTGATCTTCACTCCCTTCCTTGCCTATGTTTTTTTTTGTTTTTTAATTGTAAAAATGTTTTTGTAGAGACTTGGTCTCGTTGTTTTGCCCAGGCTGGTCTCAAACTCCTGGCCTCAAGCAATCCTCCCACCTCGGCCTCCCAAGGTGCTGGGACTACAGGCATGAACCACCGCACCCAGCCCGTCATCTACATTCTTGAACAGGGACAAATAATATTTCAAATTTCTTCCTCCTGTGAACAACTGACTGCATGGCAGAAAGCACCTTGTTCCTCCCTGCACTCCTAGCCCCGGCACATGCTTTATATTCTACAAGTTGCAGCTGTTATAACTAAAACTTCTTTTGATTCATTTGACATTTTTGGATGCCTACTCTATGCCAAGCACCGTGCAGGTAGTTTATTTCATGATCTCTCCTAACAACAGTCACGAGAAGCAAGTGTGGCGCCAGCCTATAGATGAGGAAACTGAGGTTCAGACAGCTCCGGTGCTCCTTCCCCAAGGTCACTCTGTCCACAGCAACCGGCCCCTGTGCCTCCTGAGCCCACACCTTCTACTGACACTACTCTTCTAGGCCTTCTAAGACCCAGACTACCTGCTGGAAATTTTGATCTGGGTTCTAATCCTAGCTCTGTCCATTTCCTCAGACAGAATGGAAAGGAGTTGGAAGGGTTGATCTTAGAGGCTCCTTCCTGGTGGTCAGATTCTTTGATTCTGCTCTTAACCAGAACTCACACTGTTCTCAGAGAGGCTGCCCTGTCCCTGGCTGGCTCTGGAAGGCAGGTGGCAAAATGAAGGGGAGAGGTGCTAGGAGAGCTTCTCCCCCCAATGCTGGCTAACAGAGTTTTCCTGAAATTCATGTTTATACAGTCAGCCTGTGAGCCTGGAGTCATCTGCAGGAGGAGAGCGGCAGGAAAGGAAGAGATGTGTGGTGAGGGTCATCTTGGTAACAGGCACATCACCTGCTATCTTTAGTCAGCCTCTAGACAACTCCAGGTATTACTGTCCTCTATTTTCAGATAGGAAGCAGGCCTGGTCACACCCCTTGGCCTTAGGGAGTAGGCTGCAGAGCCAAGATTCTAAACCAGCCCTGACCTGACTCCTAGGCTGTGCTTTCTCCTGTACTGCACTGCCTTCCGTGGGAGAGACCAGCCCGGCCACCTGAGTAATCTGCACAGCCACCCATTGATGACTTCTTTACCATTAGTGTTCTCAGGAACCTGAATTTTTATCATGTAAAAGGCTTTGGAGGAGGGAGAGGGCAATACCATGTGATCTGCCCCAAGCTACACTGTATACAATGGTGAGCAATGGGGGAATTTCCATTTCTTCCTTCCCTTCCTCCCTCCTTCCCAGGCAAGGCGCTGGTGCCAACCAGGGATGTACAATGTGCCAAGTGGCCACTGCTATTAGAGACTCAAGTCTTGTGCACCTCTGTGTAAATGATAATAGCAGTGACCACCTGGACACTGAATACCCACTCAGCCTCCCACAGTTCTGAATAAACCCGCTGGCCAGAGGCGTGGTCTCAATTAGCCTCTCCTGGGCCCTCAAGCTCCCTGCAGGCTTATCCGTGATCCTGCCAGTAGCTGGACCCAGCATAAAATTTAATCGGCAGAAAAGGAAGAAAAGGGCAGCAAATGCCTTTTTTACTTGATATAGCAGGGGAGCTTCTTTCCATGGGACAGTAGAGGGAGGGCTTCTGATTAATCTGCTTGCCCTAAGCTCTGCCCTTCCCTCGCCTCCTCTAGCTAATACAAGGTTAGGTAATGCTTGGCCAGGGGTTCTGGAACATAAGGCTCTAAGGCCCTGGGAGTTCCCTGGGAAGCCCCAGGTAACTTTGACCCAGGCTCCCCCAGCCCCAATGGCTCTGTTTTATATATTTACATATTATGTTCTCACTCAAGATTTATTTGAAGGAAGAGTTTGCTGGCGTGAAATATGAAAATCATACATCGGGTTCTGCCTCCTTAGGAACTTGAGACCAGAGCAATGAAATGATTGGCTTGGGTCATAGAAACCTCCCACCCCCCAACCTCTTTAGACTCCCAGCCTTCAAGGATGTAAGTAGATGGCTAATTTATAATCCTAATTAGGAATCCAGCTTACATCAGTCAAAGTTTTACAGGATTTTTAGATCTTATTCTCAAAAGAATCTTCAGTTCCCTTTGAAGATGAATGTGTGTTCCCTGGGCCTAGGAAAGAGAAAATCTCATGCCCTTTCCCTCCTGTGTTTCTCCCTGTCTGAAACAAACAGAGGTCCCTTTGTGAACTGAAAATGAATTCTATGGCCTGGGCACATACATTAGTACATACCATCCCCTTTTGCCATTTTGTTCCCTGGCAGTGAAAATCCCTGTGTCTGGTGCTGTTCGTGTTACTATCACCTTGCCTGTGACCCTGGTGGGTGTTTTATTAGAGGGAAATGCAAAATAGCAAGCAATCCTGTTAATTCATTGTTCACCAGCAATAGTAAATTATTCTAATATCATTTCCATGTACTGTTCATATATTACAGCAGAGTGATTACCAGAAAATAGCTGCTTGCATGCCATACAGCATTCTCAAGGATCACTGTGCTTAATTTTCTCTTCTTCTTTTACAATAAGTAATTGCCACTGTAGCTTCCTCCTCTTCTTGGTCACACATCTCTCTCATACTCAAGATAGATTGTGCCATGGCATCAAGAAGCTTCATTATTCTTTTTTCTTTTCCTATATCAAATCCAGAAACACTGATCTTTTTGTCTTAAGAAAACCAAGAGACCTTATTCCTTTTTTTCAAGTAGATCCAAGTTTTCAGGCATTCCTGCTATTACTTTTTAGACTCTTTTTCTCTTGCGTTTTCTGATTCCCAACATGATAGATGGTCCTCATCCTCTCTCTCCGAATCTGCTGTTCACTAGCTTAAGACCCTTGGCAGGCTCCTGTCTCAGCACCTTGCCTTCCTTTTAGCCTTGGTGGAAACACAACCATTAACCCTCTGTCTCTCCTGGACTCCTATAATTATCTGTCTCTTTTTTTTTAATCCCGTGTAAGTGCAGAGATCTAGACTGAGGTCAGAGGAAGAAGAGAGGTGATTCTTCTCCCACCAAAGGGGAAAGAAAGCTGACAGCTTCATTGGTTTGAACTACCTCTCCCGCCAAATCAAGAAATGAAGAGATCACCCAAGGGAGGACTCAGATAATCCCCTCTCCCCACCATTCAGAGATGGGATTTCACCAGTCTCAAGCCCAACTCTACCCAAGCCCCCATCCATGGTTCTCACCTGGGCAGGTCGCCTGTCCCGGGGCTTGCATGAGCCTGGCAGGATTCCCTGTTTGGAGCAGGGGGTGGAGAACATGTCCCTTTCTTTCACTGAGTTCACAGTTCTCACCAAAATATAATCCTCCTTTGCCCTGTAGTCCCCTCCTATTTTTGCAAATCCACAGACATGCAAGCTGAGGTCTTTATTTTGTGATGCTTAAATGTCAGGTTACTGAAGGAAGTGCAGAGCTAAGCAACAGCAAAGCTGTGACCAGGGGTATGAGCCTCTAGCTTATGCCACGAGTGGGACCTCATTATGCTCAGAAAATAGATGACCGGTACAAATGGGAGATTCTCAGTGTTTGTCCTTAAACTCTAGAGTATCTTCTCTATCCCTGCTCCAGGCAGGATTTATTTCTTTCTTTCCTCTCTGGGAAGTAAGATGACTTGTATTTCATAGTAATAAAACCTCTTGCAGTCAGGTGGAACACAGAAGGTAATAAATGCCTGCAGTCATTTCAGGGGCCTTTTTCAGGCTGGGAGTCACTCGGCAATATTCGGCAGGGTGTTTGGGGTCATTCCTCTCTGTTGTTCCTTTCTTCCTTCTCCACCCCAGTTCCCACCCCCATCTCCACTTTCCTTCATAAACCATTGCCGTAATTCCCTGCCTTTTCTCCCAAATTAATTAGACATTTGGAGTGATGCGTGGGTAAAATAGTCATACCTTTCTATTCCTATCTTTTTGTCTCATGTCATTCATTTTTTTCATAGAAATGGTAACCATCATGCCTATGTTCATGATCATTTTCTTTTTTTTTTTGTACTGAAGCAAGTTTTTGTTGTTTTTGGCTTGCGTTCTGTAAAAAGATAATGCCTGACTCCGAACTGTGCCCACATCCTCTAAAGTTAGAGTGTGCAGAGAGGACAGAGCCTTCATCCCATGGCACATTTTTTTTCTTGTGGCTTCTGAAGAAAAGTCCAGGACTTTGTTTACATTCTGGCCAGTTTGTTCTTTGATGGATGACAACCTAATGAATTTTCTTTTTCTTTTTCTTTTTTTTTTTTGGAAACGGAGCCTCACTCTGTCTCACCCAGGCTGGAGTGCAATTGTGCAATCTCGGCTCACTGCAACCTCCGCCTCTCAGGTTCAAGCGATTCTCCTGTCTCAGCCTCCCAACTAGCTGGTACTACAGGCTGCACTGCCATACCTGGCTAATTTTGTGTTTTTAATAGAGATGGGGTTTTTTACCATGTTGGCCAGGCTGGTCTCAAATTCCTGACCTCAGGCCTTGGCCTCCCAAAGTGCTGGAATTACAGACATGAGCCTCTGCGCCCGGCCCCTAATGCATTTTCTGACCCCGTCTTCTCCATTCCTAGGAAGGGATTTCATTGGTCCAGGCCTTAAGAAGGGGAAGCATGACTGGAGTTTAAAAAAAAAAGCCAATTATATGGAAATTCATATTTTAAAACTAGTCCTTAGTTCAAGCTATCACAAGTAAACACCTGTGCCTACATCAGTCTGTATTTTCATACTATAAGTATATTATTCTGATGGAAATTATTTTGAATTGGGAAGAAAAGTTAATTTGTTCAGGAAGCTGGGAAGCCAAGAATTCTATAGCCAACCATGGCTAAAGCAGCATGCCAATGGGACCTTTGCCTACCATTCTGCTTGACATTTTTAAAGACTCTGTGGCCCTTGGAGTTAGCTGTGGGGGACTCTACTGTCCCTGGAGCATAACGATCCCCAACCTGGTTTCAGCTGCTGCCTCATTCCTTGGCGTTCGATGGCTTGTCGCCGCTTCATTCCAGCCTCTGCCTCGGTCATCACATGGAGTTCTCCCTTGATGTCTGTGTCTTCACATGGCCGTCTTCCCTCTGTGTGTCTCGCCTCTTCTTCTTTTATATATATATATATATATTTTTTTTTTTTTTTTTTAATTATACTTTAAGTTCTAGGGTACATGTGCACAACGTGCAGGTTTGTTACATATGTATACATGTGCCATGTTGGTGTGCTGCACCCATTAACTCGTCGTTTACATTAGGTATATCTCCTAATGCTATCCCTCCCCCCTCCCCCCACCCCACAACAGGCCCTGGTGTGTGATGTTCCCCTTCCTGTGTCCAAGTGTTCTCATTGTTCAATTCCCACCTGTGAGTGAGAACATGCGGTGTTTGGTTTTTTGTCCTTGCAATAGTTTGCTGAGTTAGAATGGCGATCATTAAAAAGTCAGGAAACAACAGGTGCTGGAGAGGATGTGGAGAAATAGGAACACTTTTACACTGTTGGTGGGACTGTAAACTAGTTCAACCATTGTGGAAGACAGTGTGGCAATTCCTCAGGGACCTAGAACTAGAAATACCATTTGACCCAGCCATCCCATTACTGGGTATGTACCCAAAGGAATATAAATCATGCTGCTATAAAGACACATGCACACGTATGTTTATTGTGGCACTACTCACAATAGCAAATACTTGGAACCAACCCAAATGTCCAACAATGATAGACTGGATTAAGAAAATGTGGCACATATACACCATGAAATACTATGCAGCCATAAAAAATGATGAGTTCATGTCCTTTGTTGCCTCTTCTTCTTATAAGGACACAAGTTGATATGTTTTGGATGTTATTTCCTCCAAATCTCATGTTGAAATTTGATTCCCGGTGTTGGAGGTGTGGCCTGGTGAGAGGTGATTGGATCATGGGGGTGGATCCCTCATGAAGGGCTTAGTGCCATCCCCTTGGTGATGAGTGAGTTCTTGCTCTGAGTTCACATGAAATCTGGTTGTTTAAAATCATGTGGTATTTCCTCCCATGTCTGGAACCCACTCTTGCCATGTGACACACCTGTTCTTCTTTGCCTTCTGCCATGATTATAAGCTTCCTGAAGCCTGTGCCAGAAGCAGATGATGGAGCCATGCTGGTACAGCCTGCAGAACCATGAGCCAATTACACCTTTTTTCTTTATAAATTACCCAGTCTTGGATATTCTATTATAGCAATACAATGAACAGACTAACATAACAGTCATATTGGATTAAGGGCCCACCCTACTATAATATGACCTCAATTTAATTACATCTGCAGTTACCCTATTTCCAAATAGGCCCACATTCACAGGTACCAGGATTTCAGTGTAAGAATCTGGGGGATACCCAATTCGATCCACTGCACATGCTCTCCCTGCCTTAGCTTTGGAAGAAGCAAACTCCCTTCCATCTTCCCTCTAGCTCTTGCTCCCAGGTTTAAAGGGCTGTCTTCGAATCTTCCCAAACCCCAGTTGGCCAGCATCCTTTGGCCTGCCCACAGCCCCTTCCTGAGCTAACCTTGCCTCTAGCCCGGTACACCGCACCCTGCTTATGCCAGCTGAGCCAAACAGAGGCTTCCCTGTATCTGTCAGGGTTCCTCCAGCTCTCTTTTCCTCTAGCTCTGGAGGCCTCAAGGCTTTTCCGAACTCTAACCCCATTGTGCATAATACATGTCTTAGCAGATAATGAAATCGTTGCTCTTCCACTTGGCTGTTGGGAGGCACTATGCTCCCTTTCTCCTGTGTTCACTTAAAACCCCATGGCATGACTCAGTAAGATATGGCAGCTTTGGAGTCAGCAGCACATAAGGTCCTGTCCCAGCTCGCTGTTAGTTTGCTAGATGACCTTGGGCAAATAACTTCATCTTTCTCAGCCTCAATTCCCTTATCTTTGCAAATGAGGCAATAGCAACACCTGCTCTGCAAAATTGTTGTTAGGATTGAGTGACATAATGTGCATATGTTGCCTCATAGTACGTTCTTGTGAAATGTCATTACTGCTCTCATTTCATCTCACTGGCCTGTAATGTAGCTAGTAATAGTCACTGTCTCTTTTTATTGAGCATTTCCTTTTGTGCCAGGCACTTTGTGCTTGGTGATTTACGGATATTATTTCTAATTCTTATAAATTTCCTGCAATGTAGGTATTACTATTTCTGTTGACAGATGATGGAAACCAAAGCTCAGAAAGAAATGAAAGTAAAATGAATGAAAATGAAAATAAGATGAGAAAGTAAAATGCCCAAGGTCATGGCCACTAAGTGTTTGAGCCAGGATGTGAACCCAGGAAAGTGCACCTTTGCACTCTTGCACCTTTGCACTAGAGGCAGTGCAAAGCTGCCTCTCTAGAGTCTCTCATTAATCCACTGATTTTCTTATGTCTTCTTAGCCTGTCCTTTCTCACATTCTCACCCTCACACTTTCTCCTATTCTGTTCTCCTAGCTGACTTTTCCCTTTCTTCCTCTCTTTTCACTGTCCATGTCTTCTAAGCCAGTGTTTCTTAAATTTGTTCAGATGTCAGAAAAGCATGGTGCCTTTCACAGAATAGCATGCATTTTTTGTTTTATGTTTTTTGCAGAACACTAAGAAATACTGATAAAATTCTATCATGTAAACTTTAGAATTACCTTTGCTAGTGGAAACTGTGGCTGTTTATTTTCTATGGATAATATAAACTTATTATAGAACTAACTATAATATAGAACCCATAAGTGCATACACACATACACTGAAGCATAGCTAGGAACAAAGCATGACCAATTGCTTCCTCCTCTTCTTAACTCACTACTCAATTATGTATTTCCTCATCTATTAGGACTTGCTAATAGACAAGAATGAGAAGGCACTAAGGATTTTCCTAAAAATTTATGGGAGGAAGACTGGAGGCTCAGAAAATTGTATACATGAATGTATGTGTGTCTGTGTGGCACTTTGGTCCAGTATGTGGATACACTAGCAACATTTAACTTCAGTGTCATCTCTGATAATAGACGGGTTTGCTGATTGCAGAGAGGGTCAGAAATGATCCACTCTAAATGCTCCCTTACCTGTGGGCTTCCTGGGTTACATGGTGGGACACACGCTCCATTTTAATCTTGTGCCCCTGATTTCCTTCCCTTACAAAAAATTCAGATGCCCCAATTACCTTTAGGAGTCCTGACTGTAGGGGGATCATGTATTGGAAAATGTTCACAGACGTCAAAACACTCTGACGCCACAGATGTCTTGTGATTTATTTTCACCTTGTGGTGGTGAAGACTGACCTCAGTGTAGCCACTGTGGCTCCTATCAATGCAAAGAAAGCAAGCAACCTCATCAGAACACAGAAACACGTGTCAGCTTTTGATTTCAGCACCAGCCATTCCCCGCTGCTGTCAGAGGAAATCACGGGTTTGCACCTGCTCCCTCACCTGTGTGCTCCTCTGTGGCTTCCTTGTGGCTTCGAAACTAGGCACACTTCAGATTTCTTATGTGAAGCCATTTTTTTTTTTCAGTGAAGTTTCACAGTTGTCATCACATGCATTTTGTATTCCTTCAGGGACATCCTAACGTAGTGACTCAGAGATGGAAAGCAGGTGAGAGCCCCTCCCTCAGCGCTGCTGGGTACTATTGATCTTAAATTTGATCTGTCAGCACATCTCTGAGTAGGTAAACACCATGCTCCATCCTGCTCACAAACAAGCAAAGCCCCAGCCTCATGATCATTGGCTTCCTTCAGTAGACACATGTGTTGGCCTTCTGTGTTGTTACAACAAAACACAAGTGGAAAATGTAATGTGCTGTATAATGTTTATTGATTTTCCCTGAGCTAAAAGCAAAGTTTCAGACGTAGTCATGGAGATGGCCAGGACTTTGGTACAGAGGGTTCCGTGCAACTTCCTGGAATCATTACCCAAATTTAGATCAGACTGGGGATGGCTGGTGCAATGGCAGTTTTGATGATTAGAATTCAGCAGAACTCCTGCAGGCAGAGGTTGGGTGGTTCTGTACAATATGGGAGCAGAGTCCCTGTCTTCCTGTTCCCTCTCAGAGCCACATAGACAACATGCTGGGCTGTCTTGATGCGATGCCTTTGCACTCAGTATACAGGCTCACTGGCTTTCCTGCCACTTCTCCACGCTCCTCAAGGCCAACTTGAGACTTGAGACCGTAGCATTAAGAGTCAGCTTTACTACTGAGCTCAGCTACAGAGTTTCCTCATGATCTGGAACAGCACTTCACTTCCCAAACTGCACTGTGCATGTGAATCACCTGGGAATCTTGCTGAAATAAAGTTTCTGATTGAGTAGGTGTTGCTAGAGAGTACCAATTTCTAATAAGCACTTAGTTGATCCCAAAATGGACAGTCCATGGACTGCAATTCATATAGCAAGAGTCCGGTGAAAGGTGAAGACCCAGACCAGATACCATGACAATTTAATTTGCATACTGGCTCCACTGAATGTTGTAAACCATCCATCCTTAGCACGTAGGGGATGGAGGGGGTCTCCTGACCATTGCAACTGTGGGGACGGTGCTTCTCAACTTTGTCTACCCGTTAGAATCACCCCAGGGCTTTAAGACCCATCCAAGCCCAGGACCCCCTCCAGACCAATTAGGCAAAGCTCCCCAGGTGATTCTGTGCAGCCAGGGTTGAGGAACCAGTGGCTTAACTCATTATTACACTCTTCAAATGCAGCACTAACATGGCAGAAAGAGGTGTGACAGTAATAATAGCAACAAACATCTGGAGCATGCATGTTCTGCTGTTTCACAAAGCAGATTCACATCTGTTATTTCTTCCTTATACCAACTGTATATGGTAGACCGCTGCTGTAAGAAGGTTACCAAAAAGGGATGATGGCTCAAACAAAATAGAAGTTTATTTTCACCTAGTGGCATTGAGTGAATATTGATCCGCCAGTGCCTCTTCTCCACCCAGTCATTCAGGGGCCAGTGGAAGCTCTGCTGGCTTCAGGGTGGGCTTCTGAGGTCCCCTAGGAGATCATTTCCATTCTAGGCAGCCAGAGAAGCATGGGAAGGCTTCATGGATCAAGCGTGAAAGTAGTAGTTATCATTTCTCTTCATATTCCATTGGCTAGAACTTAGAGAAACAAGGGACAGTGGGCAATGTGGACCAGCTGGGTGCTCGTGGAACATGGGTTATGGTGAGCAACCAGCAGCCTCTCCCACGAGCTGTGTGGGGTAGATGTGAATGCACAGACTAAAGGAGCAAGTCTTTCCTACATGAAGAACACCCGGGGGGCTGTATGGACCTTTGGAACTAGTAAGAATGAAAATACTCAGTCAAAGCACCTGGGCTCAGTGGCTCAGAAGGATTTAGTAGGTTAAAATATTCTATAATACTACATTAGTATTCATTCATTGTACATTCTAAATATTCATTTAGTAAGTTAAAATATTCTACATTCTTCTGCTTCCCCTGCCCCATGCCCTGGAGTTATTTGTATGGATAGTTGCAAGGCACACACTGGTTTTAAGCCTCATTTTATTATTTTGCATGTAATGAAACATATAAATTGGTTAAGGACTGTGATAAGTGATACATAGTTCTCATCTCAGCCCCCCTCCCACCTCTGAGTGGTGGCCTTGCCTCACACTTCATTCGGAAAAGGGGAGCCTTCAGAGGGCAGCTTACTCACATCTCCACCACCCTGGCCACCGATCTGCTGAGGCCTGTGTCCAGCACTCATGCTTCCCTCCAGCCCCTCCTACGCCTGTCAGAGGCCAGCCCCTCCTTCCACTCATGTGGAAGATCACATCTTTCTCCTCCTGAATGACTGCCCTCCTGCCTGGATTACCAACCTTGTACCCTGTGTTGAACCACTCCTGCCAACGTCTTAACAAGATCAAGAGCTCTGGGGTGGGGGCGGGGCTCTCCCTGGACCCTCCGGCCTCTGCTTTACTGCTTCCCTGCAGCAAACTTCTCTAAAGAGTCACCTGAGGTTTCCATCCCCTTTTACTCCCCAACTCACTGCAGAATGGCTTCCCCTCTGCCACTGTATCAAAGCTGCTTTTCTTAGGGTCTCTACTGACTCCCATTTGGCCAAATCCAATGGCCACTCTTCTTTTTCCATCCTTCTCAGCTTGTGAGGAGCTGCTCCCTCTTCCTTGGGACAGTCTCCCCTCGCGGCTTCCATGATGCGCCCTAGTCTCCTCTGCCATCTTTTTCGTCCCTGTAGGGTGTCTCAGCATTTGGACTGGGTCCCGTTCCCTTTTCTGTCTGCCCTCTCCCCTTATGTGAGTGCGTGCAGTCCCGTGGCTGTAAAGATTATTTCTATGCTCATGATTCCTGAGTTCTGCATTTATCCCAGACTCTTTCTCTGGCTGCCTAACTGACCTGGATGACTTTCCCACTGGAAGCTCAAACCCGACCAGTGCAAAACCAAGCTCTGTACCACTCCCTTGCCATGAAACAAATAAACCCAACAAAAACCTAGCATAGTCAGTAGTACCACAATCGAGCCAGGTCAGAAATCTGGGAGTTATCCTTCTTTTTCTCCTAGCCGCCTAATCACCAAGCCCTATTTAGAAACAGAGGAATAACATTCAAGTCACTCTTCTTCCCACCACATTGGCTGCCACTGTCCTGGTCCAGGCCGCCATCATCTCTCCAGGCATGGTAGCCACTTCCTGGCAGTCCTGCCATGTCTATCCCTGCTCTCTAACAGCCTGTTCTCCACCCAGCTAGCTTTTAAGAAATATGCCAGTTCCCACTCTTTGCAGTGTCCCTTCACACTATGATAAAATCCCAACTACTTGCCGTGGTTCCATGCAGCTGCACACACAGTGTCCCGCCTGCCTCCCATCCCTCGTGCTGTGTAGCCCTCTGTCTCCTGCACACTCAGCCACCATCGGCCTCTCTTCACTGCCTCCAGCCCACCTTCACATGTGCCATCCTCTCTGCCAGGCACATCCTCCTCCAGCACTTCCTGGACCGAGTCCTTCCTAGTTTTTATGCATCGTGCATTCCTGTATGCATTTATGATCGGATTAGGGCCTCTCATCTCTCTGTAGTGAAGGGACCAGTGATTTGGTTACTGTTTTCTAATACGTTGCAGACCAATAATACACAATAAAAACAGATACTAGATAAAATAAAAAGACAAACACATAATACAAGTCCCATTTTTAACTATCAGATTCAACTGTAGTCAAATTGCATTATTTAAATGCAATTTAGATATTGAAAGTATCTATCAAAATAGAAATTGAAAACACATGGATGTTGTGACAAGGTCAGATTGATTTCTCTATTTATTTGTCATGGATTTGTAGCCAACAGTTGGTGCACCAGTAGGGTGCACCAGTGGTCTATGGACCCCACTGTGAATAGGGCTGTTCTAGATTTCAGTTTAAAAGTCATCTATTTAGGGGACTTTCCTGGACAGCTCATCTAAAGCAGATTCTTGCACACACACCCAGTGCTGTTAGTCTCTCTTCTGTACCTCCTATTGGTCTCCAGTGTGGCACAGAGAATTTGTGATTAGATGTAACGTGAGCAGTTTCTTATCTTGAAATCAGTCTGTTGCTTAGCTGATGAGTAATTTCTTCCACCTCTCTGACCACCCATATTCCCTGCTGAAGGTACTTTGGGCACCTGCCTATGATTGCGGGGACAGAGCAGCTCCCTACCACCCTGTATCAGAAAACAACACCTGAGCCTACACCAAGACTCAAGCAGATTTTAGTCACCAGTTCTCAGTGGTAGAATCCAATCTGTAGCATCAGGGTGGGGTTGGAGACTCAGCAGGGTCCCTGCATTATCTACACTGAGGGACCAAGACCATGAGACATCCCCACGTGACCTGCCCTCTCTTGATAGAGACTGTTCCATCCACAGACTCTCCTTCTTCCTGTTTATTTTGTCTTTTCCATTGCTCCCCAGCTGCACTGGCCCCTTGAAGTCTCACCTCTCACCTTTCCTAGACCCGGGCCCTTTTCCTGGCCTCCTCTTGTGTCTGGAGACTCCTCAGTTTCTCCCACATAGGGTGCACATGGCAGCTGTTCTCTCTGGCCCATCTCCATTGCAGAGGAAGCAAGGTGGGCTGGCCTTTAGTTTTTTAAACCTTCTGACTCCTGGTTGTCTAATCCCCTGCTAGTACCAGCATATGCTTTGGATCTTACTGTGCATAAAAGAACATCTACCTCCTTTTGGTCCAGGTGCCTTCCAAACCCCGGTGGGAGATGTGGTGCCCGAGAGCTCCATCCCAACTCCTGTGTGTGTGAGATTGTGCTATTAATGTTTTTCTCAGCAGCTAGAGGAGAAGGCCTATCCAGCCACATAAATATCTATGCGTTTACTTATTTATCATCTGAGGATGGGACCAAGGTAGTATCAGTGGTTGTCCAAAAAATATTTGTTAAATAAGTGAATTTTAAAATGAGTGAAAGAACATAATTACTATACTTAGGTAACAGAATAAAGAGGCTCTTATTTCAGAAAGTCCAAAATGCAGATTGTCCAAACATAATAGTCTCCCTTATCTATGCTGGAGGAGGTGCCATAGTGCTGATAACGCAAAGCAGGAAGAGACGATGGAGGAATTCTTTCTTTCTTTCCACTTAGTGCATCAGGCTTGCTTTCTAGCTTCATTGTGCTTTGGGCAATAGGATTAGTTGCCCTTCCCTGAGCTCAGACAGTGCCGATGGGGGCCTGGATGTACCTAAAGACAGGCGGGAAGTGGTTTGAGATTTATTTGCCTGTAAGCAAATGAAAATGCTCCAGCCACATGCTGGTAGTGGAGACAGCATGGGCTTCTGCGGCTGACACCCCCAAATCACAAGGTGGCCTTTGCTGCCTGGCCCTGGGGGCCCTCTGAGCCACCCACCCTCAGTGCTGTGAACAGCATTCACCAAAAGGGGCAGGGAGTCACCTGCAGAAAAAAATCAGAGCTGGACAGATGGAAGGGTGACTTCAGTGGGAGAAGGTGGCTCTGAGTCCCCTGCCAGTGCGCAGGGAGGCTGGGTGACTGTGTCCCCAGGAAGCCCCATCTCTCCAAAGGATGGTGTAGTTCATCTCCCAGAAGAAGACAGCCAGGGTCATCCAGGGCAAGGCGGGCAGCCCAGCCCTGCTTCCTTAAACCCGTGGGGCAGATGTGCATCGCAGGCCTCCCTGGAGCGAGGCAGCTTCTGTCTCCCTGAGAAGGTCCTGTGGTGTCTCCATGTGGGAATGGCCACAGAGCTGGCTGATGTGCTCCAGGGAGGAGCCTGGAGCCTGGAGCCACAGGGCTCCCTGTGGCCACTGTCACCCGGCTGCCCATCATGGGGAGCATCTGGCCAGGGGGACACTTTTCCAGCTCACACGCTTAATTGGACCACACCATGGGATGAGGAGAGGATCTGCCTTCAGTCGCATCTCTAATGAGACAGAGAAGCAGCAGGGTAGACACTTTTGCCTAACCTACAAGTGGGACGTGAGGAATTTGGGGACTCAGACAACTGGCAGATGCTTTCTTTTCCCCACACTCTCCAGCGACTTCACCCTGTGGCAGGGCCAGAGTCATGGATCCCCATCCCAGAAAACAAACCAATATTGGTACCTGATGTGAGCCTCCCTTAGCAAGCCACTGGCCCAGGCCCTTAGCTCATACAGCCCTCACAACAGCTCTAGTGAGCGGGTATTATTTTCTTCATCGGACAGATGGGGAAACTGAGTGAGGGGAGTAACTAACATGCCTGTGGTTATTCAGCCAACGAGTAGCAGAGCTGGGCTTCAAACCCTGACTCATCTGCCTCCCAGTCACTATCAGGCATCCTGCCACGTGGACAGGGATGGGCCTGGGCCAGGGATGAAAGTGAGGGACAAGTAGAAATTCCAAGGGGTGATTCCAGGGACATTGGGAGCATGGCAAGGGTGGGGCAGTGGAGGAGTTGGGGTTGTTCCAATGGCTTGGAGATGCTGCTCTTATTTCTTGGACAGGCAGAGGTGTTGTTAAACCCCCACAGCATGCCAGACACCAGACTGTCCCACTCAAGAAATGAGTGCCTGGCCCAAATGCCACAACACTGGAGAGGCTCTGCAGGCAAAAACCCTTATGCTTACTTTTTCTGGGTTCATTGAGATGCTGCATAATATTAAGAAAGAAGTCTAATTTTGGCTGGGTTCAGTGGTTCATGCCTGTAATCCCAGCACTTTGGGAGGCCAAGGTGGGTGGATCTCTTGAGCCTAGGAGTTCAAGACCAGCCTGAGCATCATGGTGAAACCCTGTCTCTACAAAAAAATACAAAAATTAGCTGGGCATAATGATGTGTGCTTGTAATCCCAGCTACTTGGGAGGCTGAGGTCAGAGGATCACTTGAGCCCAGGAGGTTGAGGCTGCAGTGAGCCATGATCATGCCAGTGCATTCCAGCCTGGGTGACAGAGCAAGACCCTGTCTCATACATACATACATACTCTAATTATTACTAGCTTCCCAGGCCACCGTAAAGGGGAGGTGGTAGGATTGTCTTCCCCAAGAAGACTAAGGAACAAATTTCCAGGACTCTGAAAGGCACTCCTTTCTTTGATAGTGGATGGCAGTCACTTCTCGATTGCTGCTCAGACACAGAGCAGCCAGGCAAGCACTTAGCTCCTAAGTCAGAGATTGGCTGAGGCCCCGTCCGGAGAGGACTGCTTGTCCACAACCATCGCTGGTCTAAAAACTTCAGTAACCCCTTGAAAAGCCTTTGGGGGGACTTTCAGTTTCTGGTTCTGCGTGTAAGGAGTTCGGAAGTCACCAATCTGTCCTAACAATGAGTAAAAAACTGAACAGACTGAAAAATCAAGAACTCTTCAGGGATCCATAAGAGAAGTAAGGTCACAGGGCAAACTGCTGCTCTCAATATAGAGAGACAGAAAAGTAAAGAGAGTCACGGCTTACCTGAGTGGAGATACACAGGTGGAAACCACCAAGGGAAACAAGACAGGGGTTGGGGAAGGTGTAAGAGAACCTGACTGTAATTGATGAATTGCTGCAGCCTCAGTGTGGCCAACTGTAGAGGTAAAAGCTCTAGGGGCACCCAGTCATGGGGGGCCTCCATACTTTTGTGAGTTTTGCCTCCAGAAGCTCTACCAGGTTCTCACAGGAAACATTTTTCTCACATAAAAATCCCCTTGTGCTTCTGGCAGGGGGAGGAGAATGAGCCATTTTGAATTATGCTGGAGCAGTCCGTCCTTAACATGGTCTGTCCCCCAGGGAAACTTGCTAACCACAGCCAAAACTGCTGGGGTATTATCAGAGCCCAACTGACTCGGAGGAAGGGAAGCACCCAACTCCTGCCCCCTCTAGCCATCCTGTACCACCTAAGAGAGTGAAGGGAAACAAAACAAAGCTGAGAAGCACTTGTGAAGCTCACAGTGCAGAGGCTCAGGCTCACTAAAAGACTGAGACCCACTCTTAGGGCTACAGAGTGCTTCTCCTTCCCCTGCGTGGCACCACAACATTACCAAAAGCCTCCTTACAGCAGTTCCCTTTACCTGGTACACCTTGTCCAGTTATCAAGAAGAAACTACAAGAGATATTAAAAGGCAAAAAACACAAATTTGAAGATACAGAGAAAGCATCAGAAGCAGACATGACAGGAATGTTGGGGTTCACAAACGGTGGATTTAAAACAACTATGATTAATATGCTAAGGGCTCTAATGGAGGAAATATTCAGCATGCACAAAAAAATGGGCAATGTAAGCAGAAAGATGGAAATCCTAAGAAAGAGCCAAAAAGAAATGCTAGATATCAAAAACACTGTGATGGAAACAAAGAATGCCTTTGATGGGCTTATTAGTAGACTGGACATGGCTGAGTAAAGAATCTCTGAGCTTGAGGAAATGTTAGTAGAATCCTCCCAAACTGAAAAGCAAACAGAACAAAGACTGAAAAAAAAACCCAGAATATCCGAGGACTGTGGGACAACTACAAAAGGTGAAACATATGTGTAATGGAGATACCAGAAAGAGAGAAAGAAAAGAAAGAAATAGGTGAAAAAATAATGACTGAGAATTTCCTCAAATTGATGTCAGACACCAAACCACAGATCCAGGAAGCTCGGAAAACCAGACAGGATACATGCAAAACAAACAGAAAACAAAAAAACTAAAACAACTGCAACCAGAAATATCATTTTCAAATTACAGAAAAATCAAAAATAAAAAAATTCTGAAAGAAGCCAAGGAAAAACACCTTACTTACAGAGGAACAAAGATAAGAATTATATCTGACTTCTTCTCAGAAACCATGCAAGCAAGAAAAGAGAGGAATGAAACATTTAAAGTGTTGAGAGAAAAAAACCCAACCAACCTAGAATTCTGTACCCCACAAAAATTAACGTTCAGAAGCGAAGGAGAAAGGAAGATTTTCTTGGGCAAACAAAAATGTGGAAAGTTTGTTGCCAGTAGGCCTTGCAAGAAATGTTAAAAGAAGTTCTTTAGAGATAAAGAAAGTAATATAGGTCAGAAAGTTGGGTCTACATAAAGAAAGGAAGAACACTGAAGAAGGAATGAGTGAAGGTAAAATTAAAACTTTTATTTTTCTTATTCTTGATTGATCTAGTGGATAACAGTTTATTCAAAATAATAATATCAAAACAATAGTAATGTACTTGATCACATATACTTAGGTATATTACACACACACACACACACAGACGCTTATATATAAGTGAGATGAATGACAGCAATGGTACAAGGGATGAAAAAGAGGAAAAATTAGTATCATTTTGTAATTATAAGGTACTCATACTACCTGTGAAGTGGCATTGTGATATTTGAAAGTGGACTTGGATTCATTGTAAATGTTAATTGCAAACTCTAAGGCAACCACTAAAATAAGTTAAAAAAGAAATATAGCTGATATGCTAAGACAGGAGAGAAAATGTAATCAGATAAAATGCTCAATTAAAACCAAAAAGAAATGCTGGAAGTGGATGAAAAAGTGGAAGATAACAATAGCAACAAAGAACAAAGGCACCAAACAAAAAACGATAACACATATGGTAGATAACTCAACTATATCAATAACCACTTTGAATGTCAGTGGTCTAAATGCACCGATTAAAAGACAGAGATGGTCAGAGTAGATTTTTAAAAATGATTCAACTATCTGTTTTTTACAAGAAACCCATTTGAAATGTGAAGACAAATTAATATAAATAAAAGAAAGTATATGGAAAAAAATGTACCCTGCTAACAGTAATGAAAAGAAAGGAAGAGTAACAACTGTGTATTTATTCCAGACAGAACAGACTTTATAGCAAGGAAAGTTATCAATGATAAAGAAGAGCATTACATAGAAACAAAGGGGTCAATTCCCCAAGAATACCTAACAGTCCTTAATGTGTATGCATTTAACAGAACATCAAACTACATGAGGCAAAACCTGATAGAACTGCAGGGAGAAATAGATAAATCCACTATTATAGATAGAGATTAACACACCTTTATTGGAAATGGACATATCCAGCAGGCAGAAAATCAGTGAGGACATAACTGATTTCAACACCATCAATCATCAAACAATAATTGACATACATAGACTACTTCATTTAACAACAGCAGAAAACACATTCTTCTAAGTCCATATGGAACACTCACCAAAATAGTCCACTCCACATTCTGAGCATAAAACACACCTTAACAAATTTAAAAGAATGGAAATAATACAGTGTCTGCTTGTAGATCACAGTATAATTAAACAGAAATCAACACCAGAAAGATAATAGGAAAATCTCAAAATGCAGACAATGTACTTCTAAATAACATGAGTCAAAGAAGAAATCTCTGGAAAAATTTTAAAAATATTTTTAACTAAATGAAATGAAAACACAACTTGTCAACATTTGTGGGGTGCAGTGAAAGCAGTGCCTAGATGAAAATTTCTAGCATTGAGTGCATCTGTTAGAAAAGAAGAAAGATCTAAAATCAATAATCTAACTTTTCACCTTAGGAAACTAGTAAAAGAAGAGCAAATTAGATACAAAGTAAGCAGAAGAAAAGAAATAAGAATTAGAGCAGGAATCAATGAAGTTGAAAATAGGAACTCAATAGAGACAATCAACAAAGTCAAAAGCTGATTATTTGAAAAGATTAATAAAATCAATAAACCTCTAACCAGGCTAACTAAGCAAAAAGAGAAAGAACATAAATTGCTAATATCAGAAATGAAAGAGTGGACATCACTACAGATCCCATGGACATTAGGAGGATAATAAAGGAATGCTCTGAACAACTGTATGCTCACATATTTGATAACCTAGATGAAATGGAGCAAGTCCTTGAAAGACACAATCTGCCAAAACTCACACAAGAAGAAATAGACCATCTGAATAGGCCTATATCTATTTTAAAATTTGAATCAATAATTAATAACTTTTCCAAACAGAAAGCACTAGGCCCAGATGTATTTGCTGGTGAATTCTACCAAACATATAAGGAAGACATTATACCAATTATCTATAATCTCTTTTGGAGGATAGAAGCAGAAGGAATACTTCCTGACTCATTTTGTGAGGCCAGCATTACTCTAATACCAAAACCAGACAAAGACATTGCAAGAAAAGAAAATCGCAGATCAATATCTTTCATGAACATAGATGCAAAAATCCTCAACAGAATACTAGCAAATCCAATCCAATAAAGTGTTAAAAAATTATACACCATGACCAAGTGGAATTTATCCCAGATATGCCAGGCTGGTTCAGCATTTAAAAATCAATTAATGCAATTCATCACAACAACTGACTAAAAAAGAAAAATCATTTCAATATATGCAGAAAAGGCATTTGACAAAATCCCACACCAATTTATGATTTAAAAAAAAACTCCCAGTAAACTAGAAATAAAGGGCAACATCCTCAACCGTATAAAGAATATCTACAAAAAAGCTATAGCTAACATCACGCTTAATGAAGAGAAACTAGAAGTTTTCCCGTAAGATCAGGGACAAGGCAAGGATGTTCTTTCTCATCACTCCGTTTCAGCATCATACTGGAAGTTCTAGTTAATGCAATAAGGCAAGAAAAGGAAATAAAAGATATATAGATTGGAAAGAAAGAAATAAAACTATCTTTTTCACAGGGGACATGATCATCTATGTAAGAAATCCAAAATAATTGACCAAAAAACCCTCCTAGAACTAATAAGCAATTATAGCAAGGTTGCAGGATACAAGGTTAGTATACAAAGATCAATCACATTCCTATATACTAGCAATGAACAAGTGGAATTTGAAGTTAAAAACACAATACGATTTACATTAGCTGCCCCTAAAATGGAATGCTTAGACACAAATCTAACAAAATATGTACAAGATCTATATGAGGAAATCTACAAAACTCTTATGAAAGAAATCAAAGAACTAAATAAATGGAGAGATAGTCCATATTCATGGATAGGAAGACTCAATATTGTCCAGATGTTCGTTCTTCCCAACTTGCTCTATAGATTCAATGTAGTCTTAATCAAAATTCCAGCAAGTTATTTTTTGATATTATTAAACTAATTCTAAAGTTTATATGGGGAAGCAAAAAACTGAGAATAGCCAACACAATATTGAAGGAGAACAAAGTGGGAGGACTGACATTGCCTGACCTCAAGACTTATCATAATGCTACAGTAATCAAGACAGCATGGTATTAGTGAAATAATTGACAAATAGATCAATGGAACACAATAGAGAGCCTAGAAATAGACTTACGTAAATATAGTCAACTGATATTTGGCACAGGATCAAAGGCAATATAATGGAACAAAGACAGACTTTTCAACAAATAATGCTGGAACTATTGGGCATCCACATACAAAAACAAAAAAAAAAAAAGCTAGACACAGACCTTACACTCTTCCATAAAATTAACTCAAAATAGATCGTATACCTAAATGTAAAATGCAAAACTGTGAAACTCTTAGAGTATAACATGGAAGAAAATCCAGATGACCTGTGTATGGCGATGTCTTTTTAGATACACCAGTGGCATGATGCATGAAGGAAATAATTGATAAGTTGGACTTCATTAAAATTAACAACTTCTGTTCTGCAAAAGACAATGTTAACAGAATGAGAAGACAAGCCACACACTTGTAGAAAATATTTGCAAAAGGCACATCTGATAAAGGACTGTTATCCAAAATATTCAAAGAACTATTAAAAGTCTACAACAAGAACACAAACAACCTGATTTTAAAATGTTCCAAAGACCTTAACACCATCAAAGATATACAGATGGCAAACAAGCATATGAAAAGATGCTTCAAGTCATATGTCATCAGGAAATGCAAATTAAAACAAGAGAGATCACTACTTACCTATTAAAATGACCAAAATCTGGAACACTTACAAACCGAAATGCTGAAGAGGATGTGGAGCAACAGGAACTCTCATTTGTTGCTGGCAGGAATGCAAAGGGATATAACCACTTTGGAAGACAGTTTGATGGCTTCTTACAAAACTAAATGTATTCTTACATGATCCAGCAATCCTTCTCCTTGGTATTTACCCAAAGAAACTGAAAACTTATGTCCACACCAAAACCTGCACACAAATGTTATAGCAGATTTATTCATAATTGCCAAAACTTAGAAGCAACCAAGATGTCCTTCAGTAGGTGAATGGATAAATAAACTATGGTACATCCAGACAATGGAATATTATTTAACACTAAAAATAAATTAACCTTCAAACCATGAAAAGATATGAAGAAACTTCAAATGCATATTACTAAATGAAAGATACCAATCTCAAAGGGCTATATACTGTCCTATTCCAACTATATGACATTTTGGAAAAGGCAAAACTATGACGACAGCAAAACGATCAGTGATTGTTGGGGGTTTGGGGGTGGGTGGGGCAATGAACAGGCAGAGCACAGAGGATTTGGGGGGGCAATGAAACTACCCTGCATGATAACTTGAATGGTGGATACATGTCACTACACATTTATCCAAACCCATAGAATGTACAACACCAAGAGTGAACCCTAATGTAAACTCGACTCTGAGTGATAATGATGTATCAATGTAGGTTCATCAGCAGTAACAAATGCACCACTCTGGTGGGGATGTGAATAATGGGGGAGGCTGTGCATGCGTGGGAGCAGGGAGTATACGGGAACTTCCTGTACCTTCTGCTCAATATTGCTGTGAACCTAAAACTGCTCTTAAAAATAAAGTCTTTATTTTTTTTAGAAAGAAAAGGGCTTTAGGTTTTTTTTTTCAATCAAGAGAAATAGTCTTCTTATGTTTTCATATTTACACTTCTTTTTTTCAGGAGGAAGACCTGAACATCTTTTCCCTGTCCTTTATTTCCCACACATCAGGTTGGCAGCTGCTGTGCTTTATTTTTGCCCTGTGTTAAAGTCCTCTCCCACCCCAGCACCTACCTGTTCCTCAACTAGCACCACCACATCTCTGTTCTAAATGTTGTTCTCCTGCAATAAAGGACGTTTGAATTAAACATTCCATTTTTATCCTATACTGTATTTCACCATGATCTGCACACCTGTTAGTGCATCAAGGGAAGAACCAACTGGCATTGTTTTGAAGGTGTTAGAAACGTTGGCCTCTTTATTTTAGTGTGTATCTCAGAGGTGGGACTGGCAAAGCTCTATTTCACGTCACTAAGACATCCCTAAAATGGACACAAATCCTGGTGTGTGGTGTCCGTCGGGTGAAGCCATGAGGCTATGATAAAACTATTATCATGTCTCACCTTTTTTCCCCCACTGAAAAATGAGACCAGACACAGCATGAATATTGCAGCTCATTGCCAACAGGAGAGAAGTGGACAGGGAACCACCTCTGGTTTATTGTGAAAACTTTGACATTTCCATTCACTCAAATAGCAAATGTTTATCAAGAATCATGCTGGATGCTACAGGAGTTAGAAAAACTCTAGAGACACGGCCCCTGCTCTCAAAGAGTTTATGAATCTGTACAAGTATTAGGCATGTAAAATGCACAAAGTGCCCAGGAACTCCAAGATCACTGCCTGTGCACTCAGGGAAGGCTTCCCAAAGAGGCTGGTGTTTGTGTTGGAATTAAATCTGCATAGGAGGAAATAGCCAGAGGGAGGGTGAGGAAAAGACACTAAATTGAAAGGAGGCTGGAAAATGAGGGAAGGCTTATTTGGGGAAATTGCAGTCTTATAGCAGCCCCATCCAGCCCAGCTCAGGCCATTCTTGGCCAACACAGGGAAGACTTCAGGTCCCATGCCTCAGCACCCTATCCTTTGGTCCCGCCTCCCCACATGTAGCCCACCTCTGGGAAGTTCCACAAGAGACTAAGTATGGTAAAAACTGGACTCTGCTGCCTTTTGGGTAGGTAGGAATTTTCCAGCTAGTCTGAAAAGAGCCGTAACCCTCTGTCATGAAACAAGGAACAGAGACTTCACACCTCGGGGACAGGAATCATCCGTTTCTGGCTGAGTGTCAGCAGAGCCTTTCTTGGATTCTGCCTATAACCACTGAATGTCCAGACTCCCAAGCCTCACAAAAGCCCTGTTGCTAATAATGTCTAAAGTAAGAAACATTAAGAAAAATGGAGTTGCAGAAGGATCTTTGTTCATGCCACCCACAGGTTTTCCCTGGGTGTGTTTCCCTTAGAACTAGCAACTGACGGGATATGAGTCACAGGCTGAGCCTAAAGGAGTTCTAAGATAAGAACAGAAAAAAGTGCCATAGCCCGGTCCACTTTTACTCACCGGAATTTCTAGGAACACACAGGTTATTTCAAACGCCAACCATGTGGCCGTTGTTCATGGGGCTGTTTGCCATGTGTCTGAGGCCTCTGGGTGTGGGAGTGTGTCCATCCGTCTGTCTGTCTGTCTGTGTGGAACTGTCTGTCTGTTAGGGAAGGTGTAGAGAGGAGACAGTAGCAGTACTCAGTCGAGCCTCATAGTGAGAGGCAGTGTTGGGTGAGAGGTGGAAGTCCCCTAAGCCATGGGTATTTTTATATTGGGATTTTTAAATAAGCCTCCCTAAGTTTATAATTAATAATACTTTTGTTGTTGTTTCCTTCCAAGTTAAAAGAAACGCTCCCACCCCCTACCCTCACCACACCACATGGGGTTTCCTTTACAGCAAAGCTAATGGTCTGCCAGGTGCAATCATTACAAACACTACAAGGTGTGAAGATAATTGTTTCTACTTAAGGGGAAAATGCATCTCCATTACCAGCCGATTATGACAGTCTCAGAGTTAAGGCCTCTACAATGGATGGTTTTTATCTGGCCTCTGAGAAAATGTGGTGATGAGATGTGTTCACATTCTCTGAATGTTTGGGGCTTCCCTGGTGCAATCCCAGGTATCCTAATTGCATAAGGAGCCTGGTAGTGCCCCAGTACGGGAAGGGCAGCATGGGAACCCCAGCAAGTTTGGACACCAGTGATACTAATAGCTATTATTTATTAAGTGCCTACTGTGTCCCTGACCTTTGTGTTATGCAGTTTTCATACATCTTCAAATCCTCTCAACAACTGGAGGAGTTGGGAATTGTTTCACTCATTAGACAGATGGGAAAGCTAAGACCCTGAGAAGTCAAACAAGCTGCCTAACACCCTGAAGCTCATCAGTGGTAGAGCTGAGGTTTGAACACAAATTTGGGTAACTCCACAGCCCACGGCCCTATATGCCACTCCGTGCTGCCTGCCTTTGCTCATTAAATGATTGATTAAATGGTTGATCTGTATGGTACAGAAATTCTTGAGCACACCATGGGACCATTTGCCTCGGGGTGAATGCAATGATTTGAACAGTCGTTCATCTTTCAGGCCCAGTGAGAAAAAAATGCTGCTGATAACAAACTTGCATACATTTATGTGGGCTCTTTCATGACATTTTCTGTGCTTTGAAAAGAGTTTTGGTAATTTTCTAATCCTACAGTGGCCCTCAGGGGCTTGTTTAGAGAGCCTTTGAGGAGAAGTGCCTTCCTGCTCTGTGTACCTCTTTTTCTCTTTCATAAAAATGTTAGATATTTAAGGTGTACAACATGATGTTTTGAGATACATCTACACAGTGAAATGACTATTACAGTCAAGTAAGTTAACATAATCCATTTCCTGAAATCTACTCTCTTAGTGAATTTCCAGTGTATAATACAGTATTATTAACTGGAGTCTGGATACTATACATCAGAGCTCTGGGCTTCGTCCTATGGAACTGCACCCTTTTACCCTTTGACCTACATCTTCTGATTCCCTCTACCTCCCCAACCCTGGTAACCACTGTTCTGCTCCCTGGTTTTATGTATTCAACTTCTTTAGATTTCACATATAAGTGAAATCATGCAGTATCTTGTCTTTCTGTGCCTGGTTTATTTCACTTAGCAGAACGTCCTCCACGTTTCTCCATTGTGTCCTAAATGGCAGGATTTCCTTCCTTTTTAAGGCTGAATAATATTCTGTGGTGTATATTGCCTATATTTTCTTTATCCATTCATCTGTCAATGGACACTTGCCATACCCTTGACCACAGAAAGGGGCTCCTGTCCCAGAGAAGATGCCGGCCTCCTGAGCGTACAACAGCGCTGGGGAATGCTCCAGCAGTGCAGGGAAGGGGGCCCCCAGGCAGTCCCGGGGCCACTGGAGACCCCTTCCTTGTGGGAAGAACCAGGAATTGAGTAGAGGAGAAGCAGCACGGAGGAGGGCCTCCAAGGAGAGAAGAGCCCTTACGGCCACATCCCTGGATCTCCCAGGACCAGTTCAACAACGTGGCCAGTGCCTTTTTCTCTCTCCCTGTTCCTCATCAGCTGTCCTTCCCTTTGCTTCCTTCTGCTTTATTTCCTGGAGATGCTCCCAGAGCACCCTGGTGGTAGCAAACTTGAAAAGAGCCCCTGTTTGTGGAAATGCAAGGGGTTGTGTGACTGCATTTGCCAGCCCAGGAGAGACCCTGAGGCAGAGCAGCAGAAAGCTCCTGGGCCTCAGAGTCAGAGCTCAAAGCCTGTCTCTGCCAGTGTCCACCTGTGGGATGCTCACAGCAGCCACCTGACAGCCACCATTTACTGAGCACACCTGGGCCTGCCAGCCTCAGATCTGCCCTGGACCTTCCCTGCACTGCACCAGATCTAGACAGGCTGTCCACCGCAGACCCTGTTTCCCAGACCCCCTTGTCACCTGGCTCCCCACTGGCTTTGTCCAGAGGGAGCCTGGAGGGTGGGCAGGTGGAGAACCAGGCTACTTCTCCCTCACTGTTCCTGCCCTGGGGACATCTCCAGCGGGGTCTGAGTTTCCCCGGGCTCCAGTTCCCGCGGGATAGACCTCCATGGTTCCACCTTCCACTAGGGACCCCAGCAACGAGACCCCTTCATCCCACCAGCCCAGGAGCGGTAGTGGCTTCCTGCTCTCACTAATCTTGGGGTGTTCCTGCTGGCTTCTCCACTTTGCCATCACCTCGTTAAATTCCATCTCTTTAGATACTCAAGTCCTGGTTTTCCCTGAATAATCACAGTTTGTCAGCTCTGAACTAAGCCCTCACCAGCATTTCTCGAGATAGCCCTCAGAGACTCTTGTTGTACAGCTGAGGACCCTGAAGCTCAAAGATGCACAGGGATTGGTTTAGGGTGACTCGGCTGGTGAGTAGTTCAGCCGGAATTCAGACCTAGGCCTGTCTAGAGCATACCTGGGCTTCTACTCACTCCTCTAGTTGCTTCTGTGAGTTTCCGTTTCCCCTTCTCTGAAAGAACCAACAAGATCTACACTACAGTGTTGTTTGAAGGACTAGAGAGTGCCTGTAGTGTGCCTCCAACCCTGCTTCACACGCATCGGGACACCTCCGGCAGGGTGGCCTGCTCTGCAGGGAGGGCCATCTTGTTTTCCAAGTGGCACCCACTGCTGCCAGTGAGTAGTTTCAGTGGCCAGTGTGGAGAGGGCACCTCTTCTGGCCTGTATGGTGGGCAGTGCCTGTTCTGCACTGGCCAGGGTGTTTGGTTACCCCAAGGGAGGGAATCAAAAGTTAACTCTTTTTCGTTTAGGTTTTTTTTTTTTTGGTCAGAATTCTTACTGGTTTCTGTGAGTGTGGGTTTGAAGTTGGCACTGATAGAATCTGTGGTTTGACTGTTTCTTGAAGAATGTTTAAGCAGCAGCACTGTTTATTTCTGAGTCCTCATCCAAGAATGAGCTCCTTGTGGCATAAAAAGCACCGAACTCCCACTGAAGCCGTCTTTGTGGTGACAGAGATGGAACCGTCCTTACCTCGCAACCTAGAATGCAGTACCAAGATACTAAAGACACTAAAAACAACTTTTTCTTCCCCTAACATGATGGGATATTCGAGTCAGAACCCTAAGGCGTCCTCCTAGGGTAGAATAAGCTTCCATTTGACAGAGGAGAAAAATCAAGGCTCAAAGAGGTTAAGGGATCTGCTTAAGGTCACACAGTGTGGTGTTGGTGGCAGAACCAAGCCTCATGCCCAAGGCACCTAACTCTGGTTGCCCTGGAGGCTGTGCCCTGGCTCTGCAAGCAGAGCTAGAAGAACTGCTCCATGTTCGTCATTGGCTAAGCCTCAGCAGAGCTGTAGGGGATCAGGTTAGGGACACTGCCCTGTGATTTTAATAGACCCAAATTACTACTGTGGTCACAGAAACAGGCTTGGGATAACTATGCCTTTCAGTAAAGATTTTGTACAGAAATATGTTAATTTTATTTACTAGGTTGTCTGGCACATAATAGCATGCATTATTAATACAGTAGCTTAATACTCTCTATTAAATAGGCATACTCTTTGCATTGTAAAACGAACCTCTCTTTTACGATGTACTTCACAATGCCATGTCACAACGGCACGTGCTCAGAATATTACAGCAGGCTTCCATTCCGCCTTCCATGAAATACTAAAAAAGAGACCATCTCTAATGCAACTCAGTAGCCTGGTGATTAATCCATAAGCACATTTTTAACTGAGTTCTCCTAGGCCATTCTTCGTCTTAGGGGCTTCAGACAAAGGTGAGCTTGTGGTTCTGAAACTTTTATTCTCCCCTACTGCCCAAGTCTGTCCACTACCTCCAATGGTGAGTCACGGAGATTTCGTCTGCCACCCGCGGCCTTGTGAGCGCTACAACCACGGAACTGTGGTGGAGTTTTACTGCGATCCTGGCTACAGCCTCACCAGCGACTACAAGTACATCACCTGCCAGTATGGAGAGTGGTTTCCTTCTTATCAAGTCTACTGCATCAAATCAGGTAAGACTGAAGGCCTCACCCTTGGAGGAGATGGACCCTCCTTGGACCATCTGCACATAGTGGGTGGTGGTTATGTACCAAGCTGTATCTCTCCTCCCCCACCCAGTGTCAGGAACAGGATATCGAAACATATCATTGCGGGTCGATGGGGCTGCTGTTGGGCTCTGTGCCAGATGCTTGTAGGTCCTGTTCAGACAGTCAAGAGTATTAACTGTCTGCTGGAGGTCCTTCCATGGATGCTAGGGGCCTAGGGACCCTATTCAGAGGGTCAGGAGTATTAACCTGTCCATTCCCAGGTTAAAAAGCTGACCATCTAAACAGGGTCCCTAGACCCCTAGCATCCATGGAAAGACCTCCAGCCTCCACACTCTTTTTTCTCCCAGCCTTGTCCTTTTCCACTGGTAAGGACACAGGCCTGTGGGTGTGACCAGAATTAGATGCATTGCCCTGGACCCAAGCAACGCATAACTTTACCTTTCTCTTCCACTCAAGGACACATATCAGAATACAGATGATACTGTGGGTAACACCTGCTCTCACTTGTAAAACTATAGGCCATTTGCAAGCTTCAGGGCTTCATAGTTAAAAGCAAATGACTTAATTGCAAACCACCTTCCCCACTGGCCTCAGTGCACCTGGGTAGTGACCACAGGATAGAGACTGGGGCACCAGCACACACCCACTGTCTCCTTCCCACTCTCTCCAGCCCTTTCCAGGCTGGGGATGCTGCCCTGAGCAGTGCTGATGACTGCATGCCTTTCCCCTGGACACAAGGAAGCACTTGTTAATGCCAGGTCTCTGGAGGCGCACACATGATCCTGTGAGCCAGCCGGGGGAGAAGTGCAAAGAGAGTGTCTAAGAGGGTGGTCATGACAAGGCAGAGAGACATTTAAGAGACAGGGTGGCCTGTGCCCAAAGGATAAGTCTCTTCTGGAAAGGTCTGCTCTTGCTGCCCCTGACCTGGCAGGCAGTTGATGGCTAGAGGTGGTAGGGCATGAGAGCTGTGGAACAGGGGTCCCCTTTACCCTCTGTTTCTTGCTTTACCCAACCCCACAGCATATCCCAGAACATTCACAAAGGGCCCAGCTTCCCACTCCCCCACCCCTTGGTCCATTTCGGAGCAACTTCTCCAGGCAAGAGAGATGCCCACCTCTGTTCTCAAGAGGCAGATGCATTATTTAAGCCTGTGCCAGGCCTGCGCCTGGGACTGGAATGTGAGCATGCAGGTCTGCAACCTGGCAGAGCCCATGCTGGAGACAGGTTTTTAGTGTTGGGTGGATCCTGATGCAATTTACATGAGCTACAGGGGCACATGGTATCTCTGCCGAGCCCTGGGGGTCAGAGGCACCTTGCACGCATCTCTTGTGCCAGATGAATCCAGCAAATGAGCCCACGGGGAACCTCGGCACCTCTCATGGTCTGGGAGCCTCACGTACAGCTTTGTTCTCCCTCATGCAGAGCAAACGTGGCCCAGCACCCATGAGACCCTCCTGACCACGTGGAAGATTGTGGCGTTCACGGCAACCAGTGTGCTGCTGGTGCTGCTGCTCGTCATCCTGGCCAGGATGTTCCAGACCAAGTTCAAGGCCCACTTTCCCCCCAGGTCAGTGTCATGTCTTGGCAGCTGTGGCTCAAGGTCTGACTCAATGCAGCTACCCTTAGCAGCAGAGGGAGAAAGTGATGAGTGAAAAGTTGAAGCTCTAAAGGGAAACAGGGGAGAGCAAAAACAATGTTCTGGGATGTTTTGAGCACAAAGCTGGAGACAGACCTCATTTTCCTCTTTCTTTCTTTCCTACCTCTCTCCCTCCTTCCTGCAGTAGACCATTTGCAGGTGGGCATCATGGGGGGCTAGCGATGGGATCACAGAGTTAGGGCTACAGGCTGTGGACTGCTCCACCCAGAGGCACCATTCCCACTGTGGTCCCCCTGCATGTGGCCCTGGAGTGAAGCACCACACAGCTCAGTCTATAGGGAGGGTAAGATGCGCACACAGCTGACTGGGACACAGGTCAGAGGTGTGTGAACAAAAGTGTTATGCATTGAGAAGCCTCAGGAAGGAGAAAAGACTTTTCTGATTCCAGGAGCAATCAGGAAAGGGCTAGTGAGAGTCTACCATGAAGTCTTATCTGAACCCCTGGAGTGGGACATGTGGAAGGCGCTTCTACATCCTTCTGAGCTGCACCAATCAGCTCGGGTTGGTATCTTCAGCCTCAAGTCATCACCACCAAAGAGGACTGCACCAGCACCCTTAGGAACAAAGAAGAGCCACCCAGCACTACTGCTGGCAAATCATTGTTCCTGGAGGGAGAAGTAGTTTAGACAGCAAAAGGATAAGTTTATGAACATTGAGAAGAAGAGGTGAGGACAGCAAAACACCACAGAACACTAGCCAGGGGCCATTGGTACAAGCTGTCTTTTCCTTGCCTTCTGTGGCCATGTCAGAGTCTTCTCATTTCAGAACCTAATGCTTCAGAAAAGGGCATTTGTTTTTTGCCCACAGGGACAGCCTAGTCCCCAGAGTCATATGTACCTGAAAAAGGGACTATTGCTCATGGAGGAGGAGGCTCCTGGAATTAACCACTTCTCTCTTCCCTTCAGGAAAATGCAGTGTGTTGCTCACATCTCCCAGCTGTGAGAGGAGTGAAGGAAATGGGCAGAGCTGCTGGAGACAGCACCTACCCGCCTTTGCCCTTAACCTCACACCTCACAGGGCGGCCTCCCTCACTTAGCAATTCTCCCCTGCCTGGCAGCAGGGACCCGCTATGGTCACAACCTGATAGGTGCATCCCTCTTTCCCCAGCCACAAATGTGTGCTAGATGTGGGTGTCACCTGCATCCCTCCCCAGGCCCAGAGGTGTGTCAGTGCCATCCTGGTGCCATAGCAAGCTCTTGCTAAGATGCTGAAACCTTCCTTCCTCTCCAACCTGCCATCCACTCTCTGTCTTCCACATTATTATATATTCATCAAGGGACCATGTTCTATCATTGAGCAATTACAGTATCTCAAGAAGGCCTAAGGATTACAAAGAGAAAGCCAACCCACAAGGCTGTGATTGATAGTGCGTTCAAGTACTTTAAAAGAGCCCACAGAGCTATTTTTCTACATATGCTTGGAAGAAAAGTTTCCAGGATATCCACTAAATATTAAGATGTTTTTAAAATGTTCTTGAAACCCTTTCATTTGATGTTCTTCAGCCCTTGAGTCTTTCATCTTATATTATTCTTGAGTTGTTTTGGGAAGGTTGGCTTCAAATACATGACATGAATCCAAATGCATGACAAGAATCTCAAGGGCAAACCAAGAATGGACTTTTTTTCTCCAGGTTCCACAAGAGTAGAGCCTGCAGGGATGTTGACGAGGGGTGTATGGGAGCTGAGTGGCATGGCGGGGACACGTGGAGGGGAAGCTGCCAGATCTTGGGAGCTGTATCCTGGGTGTGGACTGTTAGGGTGAGAAATGGAGAAGAGAGGCGTCTGCTCACCCTGGCCTAGACAACATGGAGGTGCCAGGGATGGTGAGGAGGCAGGGAGTCCTGAGTGAGAAGAGGAGGCCAGCACAAGACAGTGAAGTGGCCGGAGAGGAAGGGAGCATCATTGTCAAGGAAGCAGTAACTACTGGTAAGCAGTAACTACTGGTGGCTGTGGAGGGAGAGCAGTCTGGCTCGGAGCAAGCTCCTCCTTTCCTCCTGCCTCTTGTCTTCTGCCCCCTGAAGAGCATGGTCTTGGTGGTCTCCCGCCCTCTCTGGGCAGTCTTTAAGAGCTGCGGGACAAGGAGTCCACCACCATAATCTCCAAGCCTTTGCAAGATGTTTCAAAAAGTCAGTGGACTTGAGCTTTAGAGAGACGCACAGCCTGTGCTTCCCCTCCACCCCCAGACGTTTCATCTTCTTGGGTTTAGAGCCCCTGCCGCCAGCACTCAGAGATTCAGGGTCTGCCCACCCAGCTGGGTCTTCTCTTCCTCATATTTTACCTTTGGCCTCCTCCCTCAGCACCAGTTCCCAGCAGAGACAATAAGAAACCAAGTTCCGGCCGGGCACAGTGGCTCACGTCTGTAATCCCAGCACTCTAGGAGTCTGAGGCAGGTGGATCACCTGAGGTCAGGAGTTCAAGACCAGCCTGGCCAACATGGTGAAACCTTGTCTCTCCTAAAAATACAAAAATTAGCTGGGGGTGGTGGTGCATGCCTGTAATCCCAGCTACTCGGGAGGCTGAGGCAGGAGAATCGCATGAGCCTGGGAGGCGGAGGTTTCAGTGAGCCAAGATCGTGCCACTGTACTCCAGCCTGAGTGACAGAGTGAGACTCTATCTCAAAAAAAAAAAAAAAAAAAAAAAAAGGAAGAAACCAAGTTCTATTGGCTACTTATTAGCCACCCTGGGTTCCTCTTGAGGCCAGGAGCAGAGTATGGGGGTCACACGGAGCCCAGGCTGTGATGTCAGACGCCCCGGGCTCCAATCAGGCAGTGTTGAATGTGCAGAGGGCTGAGAAGCAAAGGGAGCAGGCCAGGAACTGTGTGCGCGCCCACGTGAGGGAGCCCTGCAGACATGCAGACTCACTTTGCCGCCGCTCCTGGAGCCCTCACACCAGCAACCCGGGCCTTGCTTAGAAGAGTGGCGGGGGGTCAGGAGGTGGCGGTGAGCCTGCGTAGCTTGAACGGGGTAGTGACATAGTGCTCACAGCTTTCCTTTTTTTTCCTTCTTTCCTTTTTCTTTTTCTTTTTTTAAATCTAGACTAAAATGTAATGATTTTTATACTGAATGCAGAAAACAACAAAGAAACATGATGAGCATAGGGCCAGCTAGTCCCTCTGGGCACTGAGGGTCCACAGTTACTGTTTTTTGTTTGTTTGTTTGTTTGTTTATGAGACAACATCTCGCTCTGTTACCCAGGCTGGAGTGCAGTGGTGCGATCATGGCTCACTGCAGCCTCAAACTCCTGGGCTCCAGGGATCCTCCTGCCTCAGCCTCTTGAATAGCTAGGGCTACAGGCACGTGCCACCACATGTGGCTAACATTTTTATTTTTTGTATAGGCAGGGTTTCACTATGTTGCCCAGGCTGGTCTCAAACTCCTGGGCTCAAGCAAAACCTCCCAAAGTGCTGGGATTGCAGGTGTGAGCCACCACACCTGACCTATTTTCTGTACTTTTAACAGTGCTATCCCACTTTCAATCCCATCCTACAGGACACTTCAGAGGTGCACTGGGCTGCTCTGTTAGAAAGGGTTATGTTGTCCCTTGCTCCATGAGCTTATGGCCAGAAGGCCAAAGCCCACAGGTCAAAGGAGCAAGGGAAAAAGCATGAGGAGATAGTAAGGCCCAGAGGCAGGAGGACACGAGAGAGTGACAAAAAGAAAACCTCCTCTCTCCGGAGCATGGGCAGCCGGGATGGCAGCATCATCTTCCAGAGGAGTCCCTGAAAGGAGGCTGGTTCTTCCATATTATCCTCCATACGGGACTCTGCTGCCCATCGTGGGTCCTGAGGACCCCGAGTGCAGGAGGGAGTATGGGTGGCCTCATCCCCAGAGTGGCATGGCTCTCACATGTTGGCACTTCTTTCCTTTACACAGGGGGCCTCCCCGGAGTTCCAGCAGTGACCCTGACTTTGTGGTGGTAGACGGCGTGCCCGTCATGCTCCCGTCCTATGACGAAGCTGTGAGTGGCGGCTTGAGTGCCTTAGGCCCCGGGTACATGGCCTCTGTGGGCCAGGGCTGCCCCTTACCCGTGGACGACCAGAGCCCCCCAGCATACCCCGGCTCAGGGGACACGGACACAGGCCCAGGGGAGTCAGAAACCTGTGACAGCGTCTCAGGCTCTTCTGAGCTGCTCCAAAGTCTGTATTCACCTCCCAGGTGCCAAGAGAGCACCCACCCTGCTTCGGACAACCCTGACATAATTGCCAGCACGGCAGAGGAGGTGGCATCCACCAGCCCAGGCATCGACATTGCAGATGGTAAGTGCTTGCCCCAGGGCCCAAGCCACACCTGCAAACACCTCCGCACCAGCATCTTCAAGCCAGCTCCTTGCTACGCACGCTCCACCCCCCAGCACAGAGTCGAATCAATCTGTTTACCTCTCACTCAGCTTAAATTGCTTCATGCTCTCTCTCCATGTAGAGGCCTTGGGCAAGGCCAATTATTGTAGGGAATGATCATCATCTTGCAAGTAATGAGCCCATTAATGGAAATTTCAAGAGGCACCAAAAGGCATCGAGCCATCCAGAGTAGAAAGGCAGCAGTGGCCGGTGCTTCATTTTTGTGGTGTCTGTATGATCTGGAATGTATTTCTTCTTTATTCCTTAATTAGATAGGACTCCTGGAAGTGGGGCTTAGGGACAGGATGGCACATACATGCCAGGAAGAAGGATCCAGAGGCACGCACTAGGGCCCAGCAGTGTGTTCTAGCCCCAGAGTTCTGTGTACATAGAAGTTATTTTTACCAGATGTGAAGTAAAAGATGCATGTGTACCTGTCACAAGGAAGGGTAGATTCATGGTAAAATAAGGAAAATGTGTCAGATTGATTAGGTCTCTGTTTCCTACAGAAGGGGAGCCCCAGTGCCACTTTGCAAATGAGAGCACTAATTTGGCTTATATTGAGAGTAAATGGCAGTAATGACGTGGAAACAGAGGTCTCCTGGGCCACCACAGTGTTCCTTTTCTGCAAACCACGCTGCCTTTCTGTACTTGAATTTGCAACTTTCTGGCTTGTGTGACCATTAAGGCCTATGGTTAAAATGTAACATTTTATTTTTTATGAACTGGAAATAAGATCATAATTGTTTCCTGGCAAAGAACAATTGTTACAGAAAGATGTTGTATAGGAGGTTGATTTATTTGGTTATTAACTGGTATGTGGAACTTAACATTTTCTTCTCCTCACTGATTTGAGAAACTGTAGATATTTTAATGAGGCATATAATTCCAGATCGTCATGGTGTTTTCTGGTTATGTTAAGCTAATAACCGTCTCTTCTTTTACAGAGATTCCTCTAATGGAAGAAGATCCCTAATATGGGTCAAGATCCAGATGACTCTCCTGCTCCTTCGGGGAAAGGACCTTGTATCTTGGAGTGAGGTCACAGAAGGATAGAGCCTGGGGGCAAAATGTCTAACTTGTCTACATGGGGACCACAGTTCACATTATGCATCTCAGGCTCCACAGTGAGGCTGACAAACTGCAATGGCAGTGCTTTTAAATGAGATTTGAGGATTCACCAAGACCCATGGGGAACCGGGGCAGCAGGGAAGCCCTCGCGTGGTCTTGGATGAGGGGTGTTAAATGTGTATCGTGCTGTGGAACATGGGACAATTCCACGCACATCCCACCGAATCATCACGCATCCCATTGACTGGCAAGTACTCCCCGCCCCCTCTGAAAGCATGTCACATCATGTAAATTTGCTTCTAACATCTGCTTCAAACTGTCTCTGGACTCCAAATTTGGATGGGTCAGCCTCTGCAGAAAGTTTGTGTTGAGATGCTGGAAGAACAGCAGAGCCTCCTGCACCCTCAGCAAGGGACCAGCTCCCAAAGGAAAGGTCCTTGTGTGACATTTGGAGAATCTTCCTTCATCCAGACAACTCTACTCGAAGCAAGACGAAAGCAGGATGTGGCAGTTGCAGTGAGAAAGGAAAGGAAAGATGGGCAGACTCTGCTTTCTGGAAATTTCTTCACAAAGTAGAGCTCATGAACTCTGTGCTGTCTTCTGGTAACATATCATCAGTGTTTGTATTCATGGTGTGGCACATGGATCCATGGCATTGGGTAAATCTGGTGGTTTTTACACATGGTCAGAATGTGTTCAAATACATCTCATGATGGAGACAGTAACCAAGGTAATGTTTTGTTTCAGCATTTTAAAAAGACTCCACTTAACATTTATCTCAGAATCATGAGCCTCTCTCTAGTTGACAATTGTCATTGTTCCCCCAGCCCCAAATTGAACCATACATTTATTTTCCAAAACAGAAATTGTTTCTGTAAACATATCCGACCTTCAAAAGAAGTGTGAGGTTGGATTTTTCCCCCTTTTATTTGTCCTAAGATTCCAGGAGGCTGGCCTCCCAGCCCAGATAGCTCAGCCACCTCACCTGCCTATCATTCCTGCATTCCTACTTTGAGGGTCTCATCATGCCCACTGGGTGTTGTTCCTAAGAAACTGATTGATTAAAAAATTTCCCAAAGTGTCCTGAAGTGTCTCTTCAAATACATGTTGATCTGTGGAGTTGATTCCTTTCCTTCTCTTGGTTTTAGACAAATGTAAACAAAGCTCTGATCCTTAAAATTGCTATGCTGATAGAGTGGTGAGGGCTGGAAGCTTGATCAAGTCCTGTTTCTTCTTGACACAGACTGATTAAAAATTAAAAGAAAATGACAGTTTGAAGCGTGACTTTAATAGTGCAGTAGAGTCGGGTGGGCAGGAGTGGGGTGGTGACAGTGATCATGGATGATGGGATTCAATGTAAGATTAAGAACAAGAGATGGAAGGAGATAACACACAGGCAATGCTCACCTTCTAAATGGAGGTTGTCTCAGAGACCACTGGGCAAGTGCCTCATTTTCTACTAGGCAGTTCAGAAGAGGCATGAGGGGCTATCTCTGATATTCTCCCCTACAAAGTAGACAGCAGCAACATCAAGCTGCCTGACTGGCAGACCAAGTACAGGGTTGCCTCTCCAGCCCGCAGCACTTGTGAAGACAGGTAGCACAGTGTCTTAGTCCACTTGTGTTGCTATATAGAATATCTGAGACTGGGTAATGCATAAAGAAAAAAGGTGTATCTGGCTCACAGCTCTGCAGGCTGTACAGGAAGCATGGCACCAGCATCTGCTTCTGACGAGGGCTTTAGGGTGTTTCCACTCATTGCAGAAAGGGAAAAGAGAGCCGGCATGTACAGAGATCACATGGCAGGAGGAGGCAAGAGAAAGGGGAGGGGGCCAGGCTTTTTTTAACAGCCAGCTCTTGTGGGAACTAATAGAGCAAGAATTCACTCATTACTGAAGGCTGGCACCAAGCCATTCATGAGGGATCCTTCCCATGACCCAAACACCTCCCATTAGGCCTCACCTTCAACACTGGGGATCACATTTCAACATGAGATTTGGAGGGATCAAATAAACCAAACTGTAGCATTCTACTCCCTAGGCTTCCAAATCTCATGTGATTTTCTCAATGCAAAATACAGTCATTCATCCCCCAAGTCTTAACTTGTTCCAGCATCAACTCAAAAGTCCATCATCTCATCTGAGACTCAGGGGAACTTCCTTATAGCTGTGAGCCTGTAAAATCAAAATCAGGTTATTTACTTCTAAGGTACAATAGTGGAACAGACATTGGGTAAACATCGCCATTCCAAAAGGGAGAAATCAGCCAAAACAAAGGAGTAAGAGGACTCACAGAAGTTCAAAACCCAGCAAGGCAGACACTAAATCTTAAAGGTCCAAAATAATCTCCCTTGACTCCATGTCCAGCATCCTAGGTGAGGGGTGAGCTTTCAAGGCTTCAGGTAGCACTGCCCCCATGGCTTTGCTGGGTGCAGTCCATGTGGCCATTCTTGCAGACTGGAGTCTAGTGCCTGCAGCTTTTCCAGGCTGAGGTTGCATGCTGCTGGTGGCTCTATAATTCTGAGGTATCCATGGCAGCCTCATTCCACAGCTCCACTAGGCACTGCTCTAGCAGAGTCTCCCTGCAGGGGTTCTGCCCCTGAGGGAGGTTTCTTCCTGGGCACCCAGGCTTTCCAACACCCTCTGAAAGCTAGGAGGAAGGTGCCAAGCCTCCACCCCTCTTGCATTCTGTGCAGCTGCAGATTTAGCACCACATGGAGCTGCCAAGGCTTACTGCTTCTGTCTCTGTAGTAGAACCAAGCAGTACCAGGGACCCTTTGAGCCCTGGCTAGAGCCGGAGTGCAGAGATGCAGGGAGCAGCAACCCAAGGTGGTGGTGAAGAGCAGCAACATCAGGGCCCTGTCCCTTGAAACCATTCTGTTCCCTTAAGCCCCTGGGCCTGTGATGGGAGGGGCAGCCTTGAAGATTTCTGAATGCATTTGGGGCCTTTTTCCCATTGTTTCGACTATTAGCACCCAGCTCCCTTTCTCCTTGCTAATCTCTCTAGCCTTGGGTTCTTTTCCTGAAAATGCTCTTTCCTTTTCTACCACAGCCAGGCTGCAAACTTTCTAAGTTTTAATGCTCTGCTTCTCATTTAACTACAAATTTCAACTTTAGGTCATTCCTTTGCTCTCATACCTGAGCATAAGCTGTTAAAAGCAGCCATGTCACTTCTTGAATGCTTTGCTGCTTAGAAATTTCTTCTGCCAGATACCCTAGGCTGTCACTCTTTTTTTTTCTTTTTTTTCCCCCTAGACAGAGTCTTGCTCTATTGCCCAGGCTCACTGTGTGATCTTGGCCCACTGTAACCTCCACCTCCTGGATTCAAGTGATTCTCAGTGATTCTCAGCCTCCCAAGTAGCTGGGATCACAGGTGCACGTGCCACCATGCCTGGCTAATTTCTGTATTTTTAGTAGAGACGGGGTTTCACCATGTGAACCAGGCTGGTCTGGAACTCGTGACCTCATGATCTGCCCGCCTCAGCCTCCCAAAGTGCTGGGATTACAGATGAGAGCCACCGCGCCCAGCCAGGTCGTCACTCTTAAATTCAGCCTTCCACAAAGCCCTAGGGCATGGACACAAGGCAGCCAAGTTGTTTGCCAATTTATGACAATGCTGGCCTTTGCTCCAGTTCCCAATAAGTTCCTCATTTCCATCTGAAACCTTGTGTATGGCCTTCACTGTCTATATTTCTAACAGCATTTTGGTCACAAAAACTTAACCAATCCTTAAGAAATTTCAAACTTTCTCGTATCTTTTTCTCTTCTTCTGAGCCCTCTAAATTCTTCCAGCCTTCACCCATTACTGGGTGAAGTTCCAAAGCTGCTTCTACATTTTCAGGTATCTTTGTAGCAATGCCCTACTCCTCGGCACCAATTTTCTATCTTTGTCCATTTGCGTTTCTTATAAAGAAATATCTGAGGCTGGGTAATTTATAAAGAAAGAGGTTTATTTGGCTCAAGGTTCTGTAGGCCATATAGGAAGCATGGCACTGGCATCTGCATCTGGTGAGGGCCTCAGGCTGCTTCCACTCATGGCAGAAGGCGAAGGGGAGCCTGCATGTGCAGAGATTACATGGCGAGAGGAGGCAAGAGAGAGGGAGGGAGGTGCCAGGTTATTTTTAACAACCAGCTCTTGGCCAGGCACAGTGGCTCATGCCTGTGACCCCAACACTTTGGAAGGCCAAGACCAGCAGATCAGCAGAGATCAGGAGTTTGAGACCAGCCTGACCAACGTGGAGAAACCCCATCTCTACTAAAAATACAAAATTAGTAGGGCATGGTGATGCATGCCTATAATCCCAGCTACTCGGGAGGCTGAGGCAGGAGAATCACTTGAACCTGGGAGGTAGAGGTTGCGGTGAGCTGAGATTGTGCCATTGCACTCCAGCCTGGGCAACAAGAGCAAAACTCCTTCTAAAAAAAATAATTAAAAAAACCCCAGCTCTCATGGGAACTAACAGAGCAAGAACTCACTCATTGCAAGACTGGCAGCAGGCCATTTATGAGGGATCCATCCTGTGACCCAAACACCTCCCATTAGGCCCCATTTCCAACACTGGGGATCACATTTCAACACGAGACTCAGAGGGGACCAACATCCAAACTACAGCACACAGGTACCACGTACATCAAGGTATTAGTGTCAGCATTGTCCTAAGAACAGAGGCTGATAGGAAGCCAGGGCCTGCTTACTTGCAGCATCAAACAGTGTCTAATCAAGTCACTGGGCCCCTCCCCTAGATCCATCTACTTTGGGGCCACATCAGAGTCTCGCCCACAAATATTGTTTACAGTGATTGTTTTTTCCCATTATAGTGCACTTACATGGCAGGAAAAAATCCTCGCCATATTCCAAGCATGTCATGATCCCAATTTCCTTTTTTTTTAAAAATCCCCAGAGGCCTCCTGGATATGACTGAACAGAGCCAGCCTCTCTCACAGTGCTCGGGAATGAGGAGATTTGGAACAGGTGGGGCTGTATTGTGTCTTGTGCCTTATCAGTGTGCTGTGAGAGAACCATGCCCAGCACGGTGCTCTCTACTTTGGGAGAGGGCAAGAAGGCTGCCCCTCAGCAGTGCATTCAAGAGGGTGCAGTGGTGAAGCCAAGTGTGTGCCATCAAGTCAGCCTGAGAGGTTCAGCTAAGTGTTGGATCCAAGGAACTGCAGAGCAGCAGTTTTCTGGCTGACTTGCTCCCCATGATAAGCACAGCAGAAGTCACAGGCGCCTTCACACTGCACTTCCATGTAGCTTTTTTTAATTGCAAGGTTGTGATTTGCCTGTGTGGAACATTTAGAGCCTTTCCCACCTAATTACACCCTGCCCAGCAGCTGGCGCACAGACAAAGCTGCCTCTCCTGTCCCTGCAGAAGTGTTTGCCCCTGGCCACACAGCAGGCCTAGGACTGTCAAATGCAAAGGCTGGTGGGCTGCAGCCCTGCCAGCCCAGATGCCTCTCCCACTTCTTTGTTCTCTCGCTCTATGCCCAGCAGGCAGACCCCATTCCCCTCCCCTAATATGGTCCTAATCTCTAGGAATTCCTGCAGAGGCAGTGCAAAATCATGAGAGAGCATGGGCTTTAGAACGGGCTCATTGCCTGGCTTCAAAACTTACCTCTACCACCAGCTGGCTGTGTATCTCAATGTCTTCATGTAGAAATTAGAGAAGGTTTACCTCTGCTTTCCTCACTGGGCTGTGGCAAAGATGACAGCTAATGTAAGTCAAGCACCCAGTGCAAAGTGGGCATTTGATAAATGACAGCCGCTGCCCCCTGTGAGAGGGCGGGAGGGTTTATGTGGGTGATGAACTCCATGTGCATACCCGTCACCTGTAACCTGCCTTGGTTCTTTCCCCCTCGAATGTGTTTGCAGGTGAAGCTTATTTGGGTCTGCCTGAAGCAGACAGACTGACACGTGCTACCCCCATTCCTCTGGGATCCTCTTCCCGGAGCCCATCTCTGGCTTCTATGTGCTGAGTTTGCCATGCAAAGGGAAGTTTTCACTCCTTGGCCCAAGGGGCATTTGACCTCCTTCCAAGCACAGCCCTTCTCTGCATGCTACAGAAAGTTTTGCTCAGGGAGGGGAGGACAACCTCAGAAATCCCCTCAAGGACTCTGAAGGACTCAGATTGTTTCCACAGGCAACCCTGTAGATTAACACTAACCTGCTTCCTTAATTTTATCGTCTATTTGGATTTAAAGCATAAAAGTTAATGCCCATACATTTCCAAGGCAATAAAGGGGAAAGACCACAGTAAAGATGACTGGTCTAGCAGGCAGAGCAGAGCCCCGGAGAGCAGCAGTCACTTGTCAGGGAGGGCAAACACTGAACATGGTGGTGTTGAAAGCATAAAACTTAATGCAGAGTGTGTGTGCGTCAACCAGCCGTGTTCAACTGCCATAGCAGGCATTGTACCATCTCCACACAGGGATAAAAACCAGTCATGCCTTGTTTTAAATGGCCAAGGAAGTAGTCTAGCTACTTGCATAGGAGCCATGAACCTGCCTTACTTAGAGCCTCATCCCATCCACATGTTCAGAGCCATTGCGGTTGCCCCTGGTGCCCTGGTCCACTGGTTCTCCAGGGCCATGGGGAAAAGGAACCTAAACACCAGCAGATGCATGGAGAGGTGGGGGAAGGGGATGAGAGGGAGCCTGAGGGAACTGAGACTAATACTTTCTGCTTGTAGCCTGTAAGAAATATTTGTAGACCCAGTTTCAGTCAATAAATATTTATGAAGCACCTCCTCTGCGCCAGGCTCTGTCGGTGCTCTCTGGCCCAGTGGGAAATAAGGGCTGGTAGGCAGACAGCTACAATGGAGGGACTACAGGACATTTGACCTAGGCCTGGACTCTCGGGGAAGGCTGTCCTGGAAATGGCAGCCCCGCTGGTAGCAGGCAGAGTGGGAGATGAACTGGGGGTGGAAGAGCACACATCCCATCCCGGAGACAAAGGACACCTGGCTGGGTAGGAAAAGTAGGGGTCTTCAGTGCTTCCAGGGCCTGGGGGTTGGGGATGGAGAGGAGGCTGGGTAGGGGCGGGGAGGTGGGTAGAAGGGGAGAGAGATGGGACTGGAGAGATGAGAAGGACAGCCTGTCAAGGCCTGAGATACCATGGTAGGGGAGGTAAGTGGTTCCTCTCAGAATGAGAAGCCGTTAAAAGGCTCAAGGCAGAGGAGTTACTTGGGTGAGATGGGAGAAGTGCTCAGGCTTGAGAGCTGTTTTGCAGGCCCATTCAATTTTGCAAAGCATGAGCCTAGGAGTCAGGGACAGCCCAGCCTAGTGTGGGACTGCCACTGGGTCTCTGGGGGATCCCTCCAGGCCCTGTTTCCTCAGCTATAGAGTGAGAAGATGGAAGAGATGGTCTCAAAGGTCTCCTAGCTCTGGCAGAGTGGAAATTCTCTTTGCTTGCTTAAAAAATTTTTTTAATCCAGAGTCAAACATCACCCAGCTCCACTCCTGCCAGCTCTCTTAGCAACTGCTCGCTCCTTCTCCTCCACCCCTCAGCAACTGCCTGACACTCATCCCAGCTCCTTCTCCCAGCTCAGGAGCAGCCCCATCCCAATGCCCCCTTAGGACGGGGGCCACACTCTAGAAACTCTGAAGCCGCCCTCACCCTCTAATCAGGACAAGAGACACCAGTTACAGCCATTCTGGCCTCCTGTGGATGTGCTCGGGACCCCAATCCATTTGGCCCTTGGCCAGAAGGAGCAGATGCTAAGGCTACCCCTCCCAGAGTCCACTTGAGTATAATGACTTGAAGCAGCTCTCTTCAATCTCTTAGATTGATTTAGCCCACACGTTTTTAATAATTGTGTAGCATTTCCCATTCTATGAAGCATGTTCACCTACTGCATATTTATTGAAGGGAAGTGGAAAGAAAGTGAGCAAGTTACATCTGATGTTGGCTGAGCCTGTTTCTATATCTGTCTACCCCAAGGAATGAGGAGGGCGCCCATCTCTGTATAGTTCTGTGATTCCTGTGAGTGCACATGAGTGCATCAGCAGTATTTCCCGGGTATGTTCTAGGTGCGATCACAGAGATCTCTGTATTGTTTTAATAGATTTTACTTTTTAGAACAATTTTAGGTTATGGAAAAATTGCTAAAAAAAGAGTTCCCATACACCTCATCTGTTTCTGTCTTTCTGTTTCTCTCTCTCTCTCTCTCTCTCACACACACACACACACCTTTTTTTATTTTAACATCTTGCACTAGTGTGGTACAACTGTTACAACTGATTAATCAATATGTGGTATATAATATTAACTGAAGTCAAGAGCCAAGCCTAATGTAAACTATTGACTTTAGTTAATATTATATACCACGTACTTTCCAATATATCTTTACATTTCCTCCATGTCTTCTTGATCTCTTTACTCTAAAAGGAAAAGGTGAGCAGCCCAGTGTGCAGCACTTGAAACTCCACAGACTTCATAGGCTTCTTGGCTTGTGGAGCTGGAGAAGCTTATGAGAGGCCAGTGAGTCTATACCATGGTCTCTCCCCGCGAGGCCATCGAGGCCTTGGGGAAAGACCATCCCACAGGTTCCCTCAATACCATGCTCCAGGGGATGACAACTTCTTCCTTCTATCTTCTCATCCCCTGTGGCCTTTGGTTGAGATTTTGTCACACATGCATGCCCCCTGGCCCCAGGGCCTTCTGTCTCTTCTTCAGACTTTACAATCTTTACATTCATTTCAATCCCCTTACCAACACTTCTGGAAACCCCAGCGTTGCCACTGTGCTCAAAGCTGAGGGTCCTAAAGGGATGAAATGAATCTAGAGGGGAGGCAAACATGCACATAGGAAATTATAAACCTCGGGGAGGGGCAGGGACAGCGCCATGTACCGGATGCCTTGTGAGTGCATAGGAGAGGCCGCTAGCCCCACTTGGGAGGTAGAGAAAAATCTCCCAGAGAAAGGGACAGCTAAGCCCCTTGGCACACCGTGATTATCTTCTTTTTGTGCACATACAAGCCACTCTTTCCCCACCTTCCAATACAATCTCAGAGCTAAATGGGACTCTAAATCTCAGGCATCTGGTAACTATGAAATCATTCTCCGCCTCAGTTTCCTCAACTGTAAAATGTGGAAAATAATATAACCTACTTTGTAGGGTTGTTGGGAGGTGCTAAAGGAACTAATTTATGTAAAATGCTTAGAACCACACCTGGGGACAGAGTACATACTTAAAGGTGTTACCTATTATCATCATCATTAAATCCAGGCAATTTTGTAATACTGGCTCCCCTCCCTGGTATCTCAGATATAGTGAAAATCTACTTGCTTGGTGCTGTTTGCTTTTCTCCACAAGTATGTCACGGTGACATTTTTCATTCTGATTGTTGAATCATCTCCAGTTTGCCACTGAGAATTCCTCTAAGCCCATATTGGCTAATCAGTTCCCTTGGAGCACAGGTCTTTAACCCACCAGAAAGCAGCCTGCCCTGGTATTGTCTAGCTCATGTTTCCAAATCTGTCCTCACGGATTTCATGAGAGCTGGGAGCAGATGCTCTATGGAAAGCCATCTGCAGATTCCCCTCCACCCCCACCTCCCACCAAGCCATCAGGAGAGCAGAGCCATAAAGAAGAACGAAGTTTGTCTGGCATGATTTGTTCTTTGTTAACTTATGATCTTACAGTGATTTGTTTGTTGTTGTTATAAAAAAGAATATTTATTTAGAATAAAAATACCCAATCTCATACCAGTCAGAATGGCTATTATTAAAAAGTCAAAAAATGACAATGATTCTTATCAACCACACATTTGGCATCTAAGGGCTGACGAGACGTAGGTTTAGTAATTGATCCAGATGCTTGTCTAACATCGGCATGGAATTCACAAGGCAAGGAATTCCCAAGTCCATAGGTCACAGGAGGTCCACAGAAGGCCCGCCTTCTCCTGCATTTTTGTCAAACACTGTCCCAGATGAGCCCCTTCAGTCTCTTAGGAGTGCTCTGACCTCTGTAGTTTCTCACGGGCCCCTAACCTTTGTTTAGCAGTATCAGCTTTGGGTTTTCTGGGTATCTGGAATGGCATTTGGGCAGTGCTACCTATTGATTTAACTCATGGGCACTGAAATTAGACACATCTGGGCTTACATTTCAGTTCTGTCATTTACAGAAGGAAAGTCAGGCAAGACAGTGGACATTTAAGCCTCAGAGCCTTGCCAAATGAGGACATTGACAGCATCTACCTCCTAGTTAGCTGTAAGAATTAAGTACCATGTTGACATAGGCTGCTTAGAACAGCACCTGGCATGGTGTCAACACTCAAAACCAGTAGCTTCTCTCACCATTCTGTTATTTCCCCTTCAGTACTCCAAAAGAATTTAAAAATGCCCCCTTCCTCTTAATCTCCTGCAGCACTGCATCATCCTTTAGGGCAGCTTGTGGCCCTGCCATCCTCATTCTTCTGGCTTTAAAAGAACCAAGAATCCCCTGAGGTTGGAGAAGGCATTTTCTACACTCCTGCCTATCTGGGGTTAGCCCCTGCTGTCTATCTTTCAGGTCCGGGGCACCCGTAGGCACCCATGAGTCACTGTTCTTCTCCATCCCATCATCAGCTCGCCAGGACTGGGCTCCCCTGGACTCCCAGTTGGAATCACCCCAGTGCAGGCTGCCAACCCTCCAGAGGGACTTCCTTGTGGACCCTCAGGCTGAGAGACCAGTCCCTCTTGACCCTGAACTTACTGAAATCTGGTGTCCTAACAAAAACAGGATAGAGCGCCACATGGAGCACTCAGGCATTGAGGCATGATCGCAGTGTACTCCCAAGAATCCTCTAATATCACATTGCACATCTAGCACAGCAGTTCTCAACTGGGCCATCTTGCCCACAGGGGCATGAGACAATGTCTAGAGGAGGCATTTTGGGTTGTCACAACCGGGGGGTGAGGTACTATTGCATCTTGTGGGTCAAGGCCAGGAATATACTGGGGGGTGGGGTACTATTGCATCTTGTGGGTCAAGGCCAGGAATGTCACACATCCCACAGTGCACGAGCTAGCCCCCATTCACCCCCATACCATCCCCAGCAAAGAATTATGCAGCCCTAACATCAACAGGGCCAAGGCTGAGAAACCCTGATTTAGGAGAGACATCCCACCAGGCTACAGAACTTAATGTCCTCCAGCTGGTATATGAGACAGTCAGGATTTGACTCAGTCACTCTTGCTGAGTCAGGGCATCGAGACCGTTCTGTATCTGGAGTCCTCTGACAGTCTGGTGGGGCATATGGAGGCTTTTCCAGAAGAATATTTTTAAGTGCACAAAATAAGACCAATAAATTATATTAAACCACAGTTATCAAAACACTTTTGAAAACTAATTCATAACATAATTATATATATATATATATATATATTCTGTGAGTAACAAACAACAAGGTCTGCTGCAGGTCTAATTACTATAAATGCAAAGTCATGACAAATTGCATAAGCAATATTTTGAGATATTGGTAAACACTGTAACGTGAAATGCAAATATCTGTAGTTTCTTTTAATGACAGAGTTACAGGTCTGGCCAACACTGATTTATTGCCTACGTGATAGGTGAGAGAGGTGCTAAATTCAGTGAAAAGTTAGTGAAAATGACGCGGAAGTGTTTCTTGTCCAAGTTCATAGATCCCATGAATTCCATCTGCTGACCTGGGTTAAAACCGTTTGCTCTAAAGGCTATATTCCTAAGGCTTAAGTTGGCTTCCAAACAGACTCAATTTCTCTGCCCTGACAGGCATGCATGTGTTCTGGGTCTTAGGAGCTGTCATTGGCCCCAGAGTAGCCCTTGTCATTTAGCCTGTGGTCAAGTGATACAAGAAAACCTGAATTCACAGCCCACTCCATCATCCACTACCCATTTGGCTTGCATTAGTTACTGAGCCTCCGTGAACCTCAGTTTCTTCATCCATGAAATGGAAAGAATACCACTGCTTTGTAGGTTTATTGTGAGAATTAAATAAGACAGCAAACATAAGATACCTAATACAACATTTAGTACAAAAATAAGCATTCAAACTATGAGAAACAAACTTAACTGTTCAAACTCAAAGAATGGACTTAGAGACCCACAGGACAGCAAAGTGAGACTTGTAACGACAGTTTTGCAAGATTGGGTGTTTGACACACAGGCACACCCAGCACAGTTTTAACAAGCAATTTATCCCCTAGTGTGCAGGTCCTTCCCTGCCATTCTTCATAGGTTGAGTACTACAGGGTTACAATTTTCCCAGACGGACGTCGCTATTGATTGTTAGGCAGGGGCTTTAGGTGTTTTCTTTAGGGTTGTCTTGCTGCATTTTGTTGCAGCCCACAATGCATAGCAATCCTAGTTAGCTCATGAGCTCTTCAAGTATTTGACTTATGACCTAAGTAGCTGGACAGACTGATAAGAAAAGACAAAGCGAGCTATTTTGCAGACTAGTAAACTTTTATTTTAGACTAAACTTTTTTGGTTCCGGTGAGGGCAACTAAGTGGGGTGGTGGGGGGAAGGGGAGGCTGACAAGCAGGCATTGGCTATTCAAGCAGGGACCTAGTATTTTCAGTTTCTTTTGTAGTTTGCTGCCCTAAGATGATTTAAGGCACTTTGTCTTGGAAATGGACGGCTGTATACATTACTTCCTTCAATTCCCTCCTCTTTTTCTTTTTACCCCTACTGGTCCCATTTTCACATTTATTTTTGTGTCCTTTAGTCCTTAAATTCATTAAGTACTCCTTTAGTGGCTCCTATTGAGTTAACATAAATGTTGGGATTAAAGGAATTTCTTAGATCTCTCCAACTTTGGTGGCCATGTGGATTTTCGGGGATTTTATGGAATTTGCCAAAGCGAATGGAATGGCCAGTTAAACTAAGGCACAAGTCCCGGTTCAATTGGGCAGTAACAAGTTGCAGAGGTTCCTTTTCCCACAATACCACTAGACATTAGCCGGGGGTATATGAAGAGGCAAGTAGTTGCCTTTGTTTGACTTACCAGTAACATTTAAGATGTGGGTACAAGTTGAGAGTTGAACTCTGCCCCCTGCCTAGAGAGACAAGAGGAGTGGTTTATATTTCCTATGGAGAACGAGGGGATTGCTTTAGGATCTGACCTCCGCAATGCAGGAAAGAGCAATAATAGACTTTTGTAGATCTTATTTCCCCATGCATCCCTGTCCTGGTATGGAGCCAACATACAACGCATTCCTTTGGGACTGGTATCCCTTCCTAGGGGAAACGGAACTACCCGTGCCTGAGGCTGCCCAGCAGAGCATGCAAAACAGTCACTTTTATTAAGAGCTAGTACCGAAAATTTGACCCATTCAACCCAGGCATTTACATCCCCATAGCCAGTCTTAATTTCTAAAGTTTGCCTTAAGTTAGTCACCTTAATTATTTTTACTTTTTTAGGGTTATTGTTTGGTGGGTTAAAGGAAGTAGTGGGATGGGGAGTTACAGTAACCCTGGGTGGGCTCGGAGTGGAGTTGGTGACTAGCCTAAAAGCTAACCGTCCCGCGGGATCCCTTCCTGAGATATTTATTCCTAATCCATACCTCCAAGGTTCCTGGTCTAGAGTAGCCGGGTTGTTTATGGTAATTAATATAAGATTGCATTTTAAATTTCTACAGTTAGGTGGTGTAGGGCCCTTATACAAATGTATTTTATTTTTTAAGGGTTTGTTTTTGGAAGAATGACTCACCCAGCCTTGACACTGGGTGGTCCATCAGACCTCATTCCAGTAGCACAGGGCTTTCCCTAACAGCGACCTGTTTCAGGACACAGATATTGGTTTGCTTGCAACGGCTGCCTTTGGTTTTCTAAATTCCCACAATGTAAGACTTGGCAGGCATTGAACTTTATAGTCTGGTCTGGGAGGTGGAGGTTCTAGTTATGTTGACTATTAGTTTGACTGGATATTCCCTATTTTTCACCCCTAGTACTGGGCCCTATTTAATATTTAGGTCTCCTTTTACCTCTCGTGTAAATATATTCGCCCCCAATGATGGCGCCTGCTTATAGCTTCCTTCTAGGTTTTCCTTAGAGTTAGCTTTAAAGGTTCCTTAGGTGATTTATACACTTCCCATCTACCCTTTTCCCTTCCTTCCAGGGGTTCTTTTTTCAGTTTTTTGATAAACAGTGTTTCCAAACTGCTGAATCAAAAGAAAGGTTTAACTCTCTGAGATGAATGCACATGTGTTTACCCCATTCAGCTGTTCGTACATCTGTCTTAGTGATCAGGAGCCCTTGACAGGAAACTTCCCAGCATGGCTGGAGCTTGTCTTCTTTCCAAGTCTCAATTAGCACGGAGTTCCCAGGCTGGAAGTGGTGAGCTGTAAACTTAAGAGGCGGGGTTTGAGTTAGAAGTTCTTTTAACCTAAGGGATGACAGGGTGGAGGATATGGCCAGTATATAATTTCTTAAAAATTAGTCTTTGGTTTCCACAGTAGGAAGGTTAGTAGTCCTGCCTAAATATGGGAAAGCTTTGAAATGGCCTTAACCCAGGAGGTCTTCTTCTGGTAGTCTGTTTTTTAACTACCTTTTTGTTCATTCTGTGGCAGTTTACACAACCCCTGCACACTTGTTTAGCAAGTGTATAAATCTCTATACACCCCTAATTCTTGAGTATTGCATCATACATGGTCTGGGGACCCCAATGACTTCCCTTATGCAGTGTAGACATTGATTCTCTTATTATGGGTTTGCTTATTATTTCTCTCCCATCAGGTAGCATCCACCTCCCATCCTTAGTTTGAGTGGCCCCTATTTTGCCCAGTTTTTCCCCCTCCTCCTTAGAAAATTGAGGTTTTAATGCCATCTTAGGGATACCTGGGATCAGGCTAAAAAGTTTAACCTCTTCCTTCATAGAGCCTTGCTTAGCAGCTTTATCTACAAGCCTGTTCTCTAGAACTTCTATAGTGTTTCTTTTCTAATGGCCATTTACATGAACTGTGGCCATCTCTGCTGGAAGCAGGAAGCTTTTTAGAACTTATTTGACCAGTACCCTATGTACCAATTTTATCCCCCTGCCATTTTTTAGGCCCATTTTGTTCAGATCTTTCCAAAGGTGCATATGTACCGTGGGTAATTGTTATTCTTAAGGGAAGTCAGGAGCTGAATAATACTTTCTGCAAGATTCTAGAGAGCTAAAATAACGACCTATGGTGTCTGCTTGATGTCCATCACATCATCCATTTCTCACACCTGGTCAAGTTGCTTTTCATGATTTCTGCACCAGTCCTTCCTTTTCCCTTTCCTGTTATCCACATATAAATCCCTGGAGGGCCTTTTACCCCCAAAGCTACAGGTTAACCTGTGTGTGTCTCCTATACCTGCATATCTTTCCTCTGGGAAGGTCTAATCCTTATGACTGGAGCTCAGCCACTCAAAGCACAGCTCATCCAGATTCTCAGCGGTAGGTCTGAGGCTTTGGTTTTTAGGTAGTGATTTCTGTTTTTCTTTTTTTTTTCTTTTGAGACAGAGTCTTCCTCCGTCACCCAGGCTGGAGTGCAGTGGTGCAATCTTGGCTTATTGCAAACTCTGCCTCCCGGGTTCAAGCAGTTCTCCCACCTCAGCCTCCCAGGTTCAAGCAATTCTCCCACCTCAGCCTCCCAAGTAGTGGGGATTACAAGTATGCTCCAACATGCCCAGCTAACTTTGTATTTTTTAGTAGAGACAGGGTTTTGGCGTGTTGGCCAGGCCGATCTTGAACTCTTGGCCTCAAGTGATCCGCCCACCTCAGCCTCCCAAAGTGCTGGGATTACAAGTGTGAGCCACTGCAACCAGCCCAAGTTCTGATTTTCTGTCTTCAATTTTTCTAAACTCCGAACGGTATCCCTGTCCTCCATGCTTGGATGCCCCTCTTGCCCGAGTTTATCCAAGCTCCCTCCACTCCTAGTGTGGGCCTATCTAGGTTTTCTTTAACTAACTCGAAAAGTTATGTTAAATTATTTTCTTTTTTTTTTTTTTTTAATTGACAGAGTCTCACTCTCTCACCAGGCTGGAGTGCAGTGGTGCAATCTCGGCTCACTACAACTTCCACCTCCCAGGTTCAAGTGGTTCTCCTGCCTTAGCCTCCAGAGTAGCTGGGACTACAGGCACGCACCACCATGCTCAACTAATTTTTGTATTTTTAGTAGAGACAGGGTTTCACCATGCTGGCCAGGATGGTCTCAATCTCTTGACCTCATGATCTGCCCACCTCAGCCTCCCAAAGTGCTGGGATTACAGGCATGAGCCACCACACCTGGCCTTCTTCTTCTTCTTTTTTTTTCTAATTGACATGGGGTCTCACTGTATTGCCCAGGCTGGTCTTGAACTCTTGAGCTCAAGCAGTCCTCCCACCTTGGCCTCCTAAAGTGCTGGGATTACAGGCATGAGCCACCATGCCCAGCCTGGTTATGTTAAATTAAATCCAATCCGAGCCCGTGTCCAGTGAGTGTGAGGCTCCTTCTAGCCTGAGTTGAATGTAACATCACTGAGAAAGATGTGCCACAAAAGTGTCTTATATCCCGAGGAGGAACCCAATTGTGAGGCCTCCTTCTGTGGGGTCTGGGACCTTCATTACCCTTGCTTCTCTCTCAGGAAGTCTCTATATGACAGTGTTTTCTTAAGTGCGAGATGTTAATACATGTTGGATGAAAGAAGGGTTCTGTGGGAAACTTTGGGAGAAAGTTTCATTGACCCAATCAGGTTTCTTCATTGAAGGGCTTCTCAGAGTATTTAACATGGTAATGGTAATACAGGGTCTCCCACATGTTATGGACTGAATGTATCGCCCCCCCCCACCCAATTTATATGTTGAGATTTAATCCCCATAATGAGGGCATTAGGAGGTGAGGCCTCTGGGAGGTGATTAGGTCATGAGGGTGGAGCCCTTGTGAATGGGATTACCAACCTTTTAAGAAGAGAACAGAGCGCTCCTTTGCTCTCTTTCCACCATGCAAGGATAGAAGTCAGCTGTCTGCAGCCCAGAAGAGAGCCCTCACCAGAAATCAGTGGTGCTGGCACTCCAGCTTGGAGTTCCAGCCACCAGAGCTGTGAGAAATCAATGACTGTTGTTTATAAGCCACCCAGTCTATGGTACTTTGTAGCCTGAACTAAGACAACTAGGGAGCCTCTTCTCACAGGGCATCCCAGGCCCCTCTGGGAAATGCTAACCCAGGACCAGAGGGGGACTGACCATGAGGCCACCAGAGCCCGCACCTCATGGCCCCACACCCAAAACTGGCCTTTCTGTGCCTCAATGCATTATACTTGAGGGCTGGCTGGGAGGCCACAGTGGCCCCAGTAGGGCACATTGCCCCAGCAAATGTCACACACCACTCCCCAGCAGGGTCCTAGGACTACAGGTGCTAGCCCACCTTCAATGGCAGGGCTCCCACGTGTTTCTGGGGGACTCACTCACCAAGGCTCCACACGCTTCAACTCCAGGAGGAAAGAGCCAATAAGACCCTGCTCAGCATCCCACTCAGAGGTCATCACGACCAGGTCCCATAGCCACTCTGTCCCCTACCCCAGGACTGGAGCAGCAGAGGCAGGTGAGGGGCAAGTGCCCATGTGGGCAAGGCTGTGACTGAGCTGACGCAGCTGAGGGGGAATTGAGGGACAAAGGCCTGGGAGGCTGATCAGGAGCTCACATAGCTGAACAGAGAATGGCTGAGGTGTGACATTACCAATGCCAAGCAAAGAAGCCAACAGATGCACGTTTTCAAACTACCGAGGGCCAACCAAACTAGGGCCAACCATGTTTACAGGAAAGATAGAATTACCTTTTTTCTCCCTATAGAAAATGATAATACAAAATTATTGTCCTATGAAGAAATCAGAGAACATATAGCCAAAACATGCAAGATGAAAACATTGTAGATGAGTGGCAGCAGAGGATCAATAATAGTTTATAAAATATATTTTTATTCTTTTCTGGGTTTTTGTGATGTCTATGTTGTCAACTTTCAGCTTTTTGAAATGTATAATTTGCTGTGATTTCTCATTCTGAATAAATCTTCATTTCTGTATTAATGTCGCTTGTAGCTTTACGTTCTTTTTCTTAAAGAGGATCCCCCTCCAAAACTCTGTTCTCACCCCACCCAACCCTGGCTGAGAGGTAGCGGATGGTCTGGGTGACCTGCGAGATCCCTTCCAGTGCTGTCATTTTATCAGCCTCTATAAAACCCAGGTGTCAGGAATGCAAGCCTGATAATAAAGTGATAATAAGGACTAACATTTGTAGAGTCTATCACGTTTTCACAGCACTTTCATTCCATTATCTCCTTCAACTCTCCTAACAACTCCAGGGTAGGTCTGTAAATAGGCCATGGGCCTGAATAATACATTCGGTTTTTTAGAAGAAAGGAAGGGAGAGGGTAATAAAATCAACATGCTACTTTTTCTCCATGGGCTGACGTGTCCCTCTGGCCTTTTCTAGTGCTGCCCCCACTCTCCTCTTTCAGCCTGGGTTCCTCTGGGCTCCCATGATGGCCTCAAGGGCACCATGTGCTCAGTTAGCTGTTGCCACCATTTATCTAGTTTGTTTATTTACTAGACAAAGGACATTCTCTGGTGAGGCCAGGATGCCTGGTTTCTGGGCCTGGGTCTGTCATGAAAGGCATGACCCTGAGCAGGTCTCTCCCTCTCTGGTCCTAAGTCCTCTCTCACTCCTTTCCCCGACCCCCACCCTCACCTCCCTCACTCTCCCAGGCCCACCAGATGGAGCAAGTTAGAAGAGACTGGATAACTTCCAGCTGAAACAGCCCCTAGGGTGAGGACCCCTAACTCCCTCTCTGCAGATGTTTCAGGGCATGAGCTCACTCTGCCCTCAGAAGGGGCCATGCACCATCTCACCGGGAGCAGCACCTGCCTGCCAGGCCTGCTGTGTGCTCAAGTGTGGTGAGACATACCCCAGAGAGAAAGCGTCCAGAGCCAGACTGAACCGCGCATGGGGCCACAGTTAGTGCTGAGGGTACAGCCGGTGGCTCTCTACTCTCCCTCAGCAGAGACAGCGGAGTCTGTGAACTGACGCCAGGGGACACAGACACCTGCACAGCTTGTTCCGGAAATGCCAACGGCAGCATGAACAGACTGACCAAGCTCTCTCCTCCCTCTCCCAGGCAGGGGGCTGATGAGGGGCTATAGGACAGTTCCAAAGATGAGGGCTAGGTGGATCCACACCATGGAGCCAGCCCTGGGGATCCCAGAGCTGGTGGGAATGGACAGAGCCCTGAGCCAGAGGCCCGGGTTCTGACTGCCTATGGGAGTCTGCCTCCCACTCCTCCCCCCACGCACAAGCACAGGGTGCCCACTGTGCCCAGGAGCTGCATTACCCAGTGCCTCCATTCTTCACACTTACCCACTGGCCAGGGCCTGACCACAGTCCCATCTGGCCCACTTCCCTCCCAGATCACCACGTTGTCCCGCTCCCACTCCTTCCGTTAGCTTCAACTCCTGAAGGCTCCCCGTCACCCTCCCCTCCCCATCCCTGCTCTGCCCAGGGACTCAGAGAGCCCCCCACTGCACTGGGGAACGGAGTACAGCCTGCAGCACCTGGAGCTCCTCATTCAGACAACAGAGGAGGCAGAGGCCAGTGCACAGCCAGCACCCAGGAGAAAGGAGCTGACCTCGCTGAAGAGCATCAGAGGAATCCCCGAAGGACAGCGGCTCCTAAACTCGATTCCATATGACCTGGACAGCCCAGACTGGGAGCGGTAGGAAAGAAGAGTGAGGGATCAGTGGGGGAGGGAGAGGGGAGTCACGGAGAGCAGAAAGCTGGAGGAGGAGGGAAAAAGGGAGGGGAGGTGGTATATGGAGAAGAGGTGGAACCTGGCAGGAGAAAGAGCCCCCACCACCCCAGGGCTGGCCTGCAACCTGGCACTCTCAGAGCAGACAGACAAGTACCCTGGGCCCCACCTCACCACCTGCACACCTGCTCAGCATGTTGGTCAATCCCTGTTCCCAAGCATGATCACCAAGGCAGCACCATGCTTCATGACTCAGGCGGCACGGCTGGGAGGCTGATTCCCTGCCAAGTCCCCTCTGAATGCTGATTTGGCTGAAGGGAGAGACACAACCCTCTCCTACTGGACTCCTCAAAGGTCAGATAGAGCCTGGCCCATTACTGTCTCTATTGATTTTCCTTCTCCCCAACCCCACAGGCCAGGGCAGTCTAGTGCTTCATAAAGGAGCCGGGAAGGCAGCTCGGGTGTAGGAAGAGCATGGGAGGGGGAGTCAGGAAAAGGACTCCTACCATGGTTCAGCTGTCTGGGCCTCAGTTTCCCCATCAGGAGAGAAGAGAAGTGAACACTGATGGCTCCTAGGGTCCCTCTGGCTCTGATATTCTCTGCTTCTACTTCCTTCAGTGTATGCTCCATATGAGCACAAGGAACATAACATGGCCCAATTGGCTCAGAGTATAATTTCTGAGTCTCTGAATGCCTGCGTGCCACTAGGAGCAAGCTGTTAGGTCTGGGAGCTCTGGGTAATGATGAAGAAACATGAAGGATGAGCATGGAGAAAGAGTCACGTGTTGGCTGAGCTGGGGTGGCCAGGCATAGTGTAGGACCAGCCTGGTGCCCGTCACATTGGGTCCTCCCATGGCCTGAGGGAAAAATCCAGGGCTGCTTTGGGAGGAGGCATCCCACTTGGATGCTGGCAAAAAAAAAAAACATTGCCTCCAGCCCTCCCGTGTAAGCTAGTTTCCTCATTGGTAAAATGGTCAAAGCCAACCATTTTGAAAGTGCAGTATTTTATTTTATTTTGTTTTATTTTATTTTATTTATTTGTAATTTATTATTTAATTTTTGTATTTTTAGTAGAGATGGGGTTTCATCATGTTGGCCAGGCTGGTCTCGATCTCCTCACCTCAAGTGATCCACCAGCCTCAGCCTCCCAAAGTGCTGGGATTACAGGCATGTGCCACCGCACCCGGCCGAAAGTGCAGTATTTAACAGTCTGAACGGGATACTTTGTCTGCAAAGATCTGAGAAAGAGAAAGTGAGAGGAGGAATTGACTGTGGGCTGACTCCTCATGGTGCCACTGTGGGACTCCCTGACGTTCACTATCTTGCAAAATCCAATGATCCAATGATGTCACTGGAGGTCCTGTGACTGGGTCAAGCCCACCCTGCTGTACTTGAATTCAACTTTTCCTGATTCTAGACCAATCTCTGTCAGCCTTAAATGGGCTAAAAGTGGCAAAAGTTCCTGTGAATTGGCAAGACCTGGGCTGTCCTATCTTCCTCATAAAGCTGAACTCAGGCTGGGTTCCCAAGGCACCTAGAGGAAGGCATGTCATGCCAGCCTGGCACCAGGGCACAGGAGGTGAGGCAAAGGGCTCCTGTGTTAGCTCTCCTTGATCATGTATTTATTTGACAATATTTTTGGAGTGCCAGGGATTGTGAGAGATCCGGGGATTCAGGGTAAACAAGAGTGACAAGGACAGCCCTTAGATCACTTAGAGAGCAGAGGAGACAAGCACAGGGCAAATGCAGCCATACACCAAGCATGATGGTAGGGGACAAACGGTTTGCCCACGGAGGCTCCACCAGGGTCCCCAAGCCTTCTGCCAGCTGCCGGGGGCCTTGTGGCCATGTTGAGGAGGGTGGGCTTCATCTCTAGGGCAGCAGGGAACCATAGGAGGGTTTTGGGAGCTCTCCCAACGCACAGTGTGGCATGAAGCAAGACTGGGGAAGGGAAGCCGCGAGGGGGCTGCGCTGAGAGGCATTGTGGCTGGGCAAGGCACGTGGGAAAGGGACTGGACTGGAAATCATCATTCTCAGTAAACTATCGCAAGAACAAATAACCAAACACCACATATTCTCACTCATAGGTGGGAACTGAACAATGAGAACACGTGGACACAGGAAGGGAAACATCACACACCGGGGCCTGTTGTGGGGTGGGGGGAGAGGGGAGGGATAGCATTAGGAGATATACCTAATGTTAAATGACGAGTTAATGGGTGCAGCACACCAACATGGCACATGTATACATATGTAACAAACCTGCACGTTGTGCACATGTACCCTAAAACTTAAAGTATAATAATAAAAAAATTAGCCAGGTGTGCTGGCACATGCCTGTAGTCCCAGCTATTAGAGAGGCTGAGGCAGGAGAATCGCTTGAATCTGGAAGTAGAGGCTGCAGTGAGCCAAGATCGCACCACTGCACTCCAGCCTGGGTGACAGAGCAAGACTCTGTCAAAAAAAAAAAAAGAAAAAAGAAGAAGAAGAAGAAGAGGAGGAGGAGGAAGAAGAGGAAGAAGAGGTAGAAGAAGAAGGAGGAGGAGGAGGAAGAAGAAGAAGAAGAAGAAAAGACGAAAGAGGAACCAAACACCGCATATTCTCACTCATAGGTGGGAATTGAACAATGAGATCACATGGACACAGGAAGGGGAACATCACACTCTGGGGACTATTGTGGGGGGGGGAAGGGGGGAGGGGGGAGGGATAGCATTGGGAGATACACCTAATGCTAGATGATGAGTTAGTGGGTGCAGCGCACCAGCATGGCACATGTATACATATGTAACTAACCTGCACAATGTGCACATGTACCCTAAAACTTAAAGTATAATAAAAAATAAAATTAAATTAAAAAAAAAGAACAGAAGAAAGAGGAAGAAGAGGAAGAGGAAGAGGAAAAGGAAGGAGGAGGAAGAGGAGAAGGAGGAGAAGAGAAGAAGGAAAAGAAGGAGGAGAAGAGAAGAAGGAAAAGAAGGAGAAGAAGGAGAAGAAGGAGAAGGAACAACCAGTGGTGGAAAGCACTCAGGACACATAACGTTGCTCCAGGAATGTACAGCTCTGCAAGTCTGGCTGCTGAAGCTGCTGGTTGTAACCTGAGGCCAGTTGTTCACATAGCTGCTGAGCTAACTTGCTGCAACTATGGGACTACCTTCATGGCTTTTGCCCATCTTCATGGCTCACCAGTCAGAGCTTGCCAGTTCCCAGGGCTTTGCTAATACCAGTGAACTTTCTCCCAATAACACATGTAACATTTCCCTTTTTTTATAAAACCCCCAACCTTCTCTTTGTTCTTCAGGCATACCATCTTCAGAAGACCACTCTGTCTGTGTGTATGCCGTGAATTGCAATTCTTTCTTCCCAAATAAAATGCTACATTTCGAGATTCATCTCTCTATTTTTATTTTGGTTCATCTCCACTTTTTTATTTTGACTTCAACAGTAGACAAGGAAACAATTCACACAGACAACTTTTTTCCAATTTTAAAATTTTCTAAAAGTATTAAATTTTTTAAAATTTTGATAAAATATGTATTTTGTAACATAAAACCATCTTAACCATTTTTAACTGCATATTTCATCAGCATTAGGTACACCCACATTGTTGTGCAACCATCACCACCATCCATTTCCAGAACTCTTCATCTGGTGAAAGTGAAACCCTATACCCACGAAACAATATTTCCCTGTTACCTGCTACCCCTGGTCCCTGGTAGCCACCATATTCTACTTCCCGTCCCTATGACTTTCACTATTCCACGTACCTCAAAGAAATGGAAGTATATGGTGCTTGTCTTTTTGTGTCTAGCTGATTTCACTTAGCATACTGTCCTCAAGTTTCATCCAGCAAGTTGTAGCTTGACATAAGTTGTAGTTTGTGTCATAATTTCCTTGCCTTTTATGGTCAACTAATATTCCTTTATATGGATAGACCACATTTTGCTTATTTAGTCATCCGTCAATGGACACTTGGGTTGCTTCCAGCTTTTGGCCATTGTGAATAATGCTGCTATAAACATGGTGTACAAGTATATCAAGACCCTGCTTTCAATTCTTTTGGATATATACCCAGAAGAGGTATTACTGGATCATATGGTAACTTTAGTTTTAATTTTTTGAGAAATAGCTATACTGTTTTCCATAGCTAAAAGTTTAATATTAAGAAAGAATGACAGAGAAGGAAAGGAAAGGAAAGAAAAGGAAATGAAAGGAAAGGAATGGAAAGGAAGAAGGAAGGAAGGAAGAAAAGAAAGAAAGAGAAAGAAAGAAAAAAGAAAGAAAGAAAGAAAAAGAGAGAGAAGGAGGGAGGGAAGGAAGGAGGGAGGGAGGAAGGGAAGGAAGGAAAGAAAGAAGGAAGGAAGGAAGGGAGGGAGGGAATGAGGGAGGAAAGGAGGGAGACATGTTGGCAAGCATGTGGAGACACTGGAACCCCTGTGCACTGTTGCTGGGATGTGAAGTGGCGCAGCCGCGGTGGAGAAGGGTATGGCAGTTCCTCATAGAGAGGAGGGAACAACAAGGCAAGATGCCGACAGGTATACCTGCTTGAAGCTGATGGCCTCACCAATGGCCACAGGAAAAGAGGGATCTATCCAGAGGATGAAAGGTGCAGACAAGGTGGGCCCGATACAATGCGTTAGTCATCCTTGTATACTTAGCACATGGATGTGGCCTGGAGATAGTGCTCAAGAGATAATTGTCAAATATCTCACATTCATATGGCACTTACCATATGCCTGGCACAGTCACTGGGCTTTCATATATTAATTCGTTATTTAACCCTCACAACAACCCTATGTATGCTGTTATCTCCCCATTGTACAGATCAGGAAGCAGAGACAGAAGCAAGTTTAGTCATGTGCCCAGGGTCACACGGCTGGTAAATGGTGAAGCAGGGACTCAAAACCACTCTTGCAATTGCAGACTGCCTGACTATAATGCAAATCAGTCAGATGAAGGTAAAATACACATCCCATGGTATACTTTACTTCCCAGGCCACCCCACACCACGGAAAGCAAACATATCACAAAGGAATTAAAAAGAAAATGCTTTAGGCTCTGGCATCTGACCAATCTGGCTGAGTTCAAATCTTGGTTCTGCCCCTCATGACCCATATGACCTTCAACAAGCCACTTAAACTTCCTGAGCATCACTTCGTTATCCCTAAAATGGAGATGCAAATACATACTTATTTGCAGTAGCCGAGAGCTGAAAACAGCCCAGAGGCTCATCAGGAGAAGTGTGGCACGTCCATACAATGAGATACTACTCAGCAATAAGGAGCAATGAATTACAGATACACACTACAACATTCATTCAGCACGGATGAAGCTTGACAACATGACGATCAGTGGAAGAAGCCTTAAATGAATGAGTAAATTGCATCTGATTCCACTTTTTATGAAGTTCTAGAACAGGCAAAACTAAGCTACAGTGGAAAAATCGACTGGTGGTTGCCTCTGAGGGGTGGAGGCAGAGATTGGGAAAGGACATGAGGGAAATTTCCATGGTGATGGTAATGTTCTATATCTTGCTAGGCATTTGGATTACACAGCTGTTTGCTTTCCTTAAAACTCAATAAATGTATACTTAAGATTTGAGCACTTCATTGTACCTCAGAAGAAAAATCTGTAAAGAAAATATTGAACTCTAGTTAATGATTGACTGCTAACTTTAGGGAAAAACGTATTGATGTTTGCAATTTACTTTGAAATGCACCAGAAAATAAGGTGGATTAATGGGTGGATTGAGGATGAATAGATGGACAGATTATGTGACAAGGCAAATAAGGTAAAATGTCAATAGTAGAATGTAGCTAGTGGGCATATGGGAAGGGTGCTCACTGTAAAATTCTTTCAGCTTTGCTGTATGTTTGGGTTTTTTTTGTTTTTTTTTTTTGAGACAGAGTCTTGCTCTGTCGCCCAGGCTGGAGTGCAGTGGTGCAATCTCAGCTCACTGCAAGCTCTGTCTCCCAGATTCACGCCATTCTCCTGCCTCAGCCTCCCGAGTAGCTGGGACTACAGACACCCACCACCACACCCAGCTAATTTTTTGTATTTTTAGTAGTGACTGCTGTATGTTTTTAAAATTTTATAATAAATAATTAGAAAAAAATGTATAGTATTTTTATCACAGAGTTGTTGAGCACATTACCTGAGATCAAGAAGTCAGCTATAGAACTAGGTGCCTGGTTGACATTATCGTCTCATGTTATGGGTGAATTGTGTCCCTTCAAAGCCATACACTGGAGTCCTAACCAGTACCTCAGAATGTGACTTCACTTGGAGAAGAAATCTTTACAGAAGTAATCAAGTTAAGATGCAGTAATACTGGAGAAGGGTGAGTCCTAATCCAATATGACTGATGTCCTTATAAAAAGGGGAAATTTAGACACAAACATGCAGACAGGGAGAACATCACCTGAAGACCAAGGCAGAAATCAGGTGATGCTTTTACAAACCAAGAAATGGCAAAGATTGCTGGCAAACACTAGAAACCAGGAGAGAGGCCTAGAGCAGATTCTCCCTCCTAACCCTCAGGAGGAACAATCCTGCTGACCCCTTGATCTTGGACTTCTGGTCTGCAGAACGATGAGAAAATACATTTCTGTTGTGTAAGCCATCCTGTTTCTGGTGCTTTATTATGGCAGCTCTAGCTGACTACTACATCCCTCCATGCCCCTTAGACTCCAAGCCCCAGCAATGAATCTGAGACTCTCTCATCCTTGCCCAGCCCCTGGAGTTGTGAGGTGGCAGCTCACTTCTTGGGCCTCCTCAAAGCAGCCAATCACCACTCCCACAGTTGCTCCATCAACTGCCAGCAGCAGGTCCTTGCACCTGGGGAAGAGGTTTCCCTTTATACTTTACAGCTCCCCAGGCCAACCCCATAGAAGGCGGCACTCAGTGAGTTACTGCTGTATTTTTAACAACCCTGAAACATGACCCAGCCTCCTCGCCTGAGTGCTTCTCTGGAGAAAGAACCAAAGGCCACATGAGAGACACCACCCTGAGTGACCCCCTTGGCGCCCCAACAATGCCAACCACCAGCACAGACCCTCCTTCCTGTCTTTCAAATCTCCCCATCCTAGATTAGGTCCCTGCTTTCTGGACGTCTCCCTGTACTCCATCCTGCCTCTCAGTTTGGGGTGGCTTTGTCTCCCTTTTGGTTTAAACCTGTTCATCTGATCTTATCCCTCAAGGGCCCCTGCTTCGGTTCTCACAGGAAGCCAATAATAATGTCCAGAATTCAGTCACTAGAGTGACATGTGCTAGGACACTCCAGGCCCAGCCTGGCTGCAGGGAAAGGAAGAGGGAAGAAGCCAGGTGGGACCAGATCCCCTTCACTTCATGAGATAAGGGGAATGAGGGTCTCCCGAGTAACAGATGTCCCTTCTCTGAATGCCAGCACCAAGTCTGTTTGTTCACCCCTCACTGGGCCCTCAGTGTGACACAGAGCCTGGCATGAGGCGAATGCTCACCCAATGCAAGTTGAACAAATGGCTGATCACCCAGGAAAGTGGTAGGGGTTAAATGATCAGAGCAGAAGCTTATAACAGGGTTTTGGTCTTAGTGCTCTGCTGCCAGAATTGTGGCACCAATTATCTATTGCTGTTTACAAATCATCCCAAAACACGGTGGCTTAAAACATGAGCAATATTTTTATTATCACCTCTCACAGTTCTGGCGGTTGAATGGGTTCAGCTAGATGTTTCTTACACAATCGAGGTTAATTGGGGCTGGAGCCATCTCAGAAGTTTCCATAACCAATCTGGTTGTCAGCTCAGTCAGAAGAGCCACACATGGCCTCTCCAGGAGGCTTGGGCTTCCTCACAGCATGGTAGCTGGATTCCAAGAGCAGGTGTCCCAAGAGAACCAGGCAGAAGCTGTATTGCCTTTTAGGAATGAGCCTCACATAATGTCACTGCTGGAGTTTGAATGTTTGACCTCTACTAAGCTCATGTTGAGATTTAATTGACACTGTAACAGTATTAAGATACGGAGCCTTTAAGAGGTGAGTAAGTCACAGGGACACCATTCTAATGAATGCATTCAGGCCATTATTGTGGGAGCAGGTTAGTTATCATGGGAGTAGACTCCTGATAAAAAGCTTAAGTTTAGCCTCCATTCTCTGTCTGTCATGTTCACTTGTCCTTCCACCACGAGATGCTGCAGCAAGAAAGCCCTCACCAGATGCCAGTGCCATGCTCTTGGGTTTCCCAGCCTCCATGAGCCCAAAAAAACCCCTTATTTTCTTTATAAATCACCCAGTCTGGGGTGGGCACAGTGGTGGCTCATGTCTGTAATCCTAGCACTTTGGGATGCTGAGGTGGGTGCATCACTTGAGCCCAGGAGTTTGAGAACAGCCTGGACAACACGGTGAAACCCCATCTCTACAAAAAATACAGAAATTAGCTGGGTGTGGTGTTGTGCACATAGTAGTCCCAGTGACTCCAGAGGCTAAAGTGGGAGGATCACTTGAACCCAGGAGATGGAGGTTGCAGTGAGTCGAGATCAAACCACTGCACTCCAGTCTGGGCAACAGAGCAAGACCCTGTCTCAAAAAAAAAAAAAATCACCAAGTCTGTGTTATTCTGTTATAACAATAGAAAACAGATGAAGACAGTCACTTTTGTCATAGTTGTATGACATAGTCCCTCCCAAATTCAAAGGCACCCCCACCTCTCAATGGGAGGAAAGTCAACAACACATTGTAAGAAGAGCTTATGGGATGGGAGGTCTCAAGGTGGCCACCTTAGAAAGCACATTCTGAGACCTGAAGCTCAGCCCCCGGGCCCTCATCTAGATTAACAAAGACCCCAGTCTGCAGTCAGGGCAGGTTCTCAGAGCCCAGGCAAGGAAGGCTACAGGGAGGAGGGGGCCAGGGGCCTGGCTGTGGGGAAGAAGAACTGCTGAGCTCAGAATGTAAAAAGGTTCCTGTGGAGCTGGCTGAGTGAAGAGCAAGAGGCTGTAGGCTGAGAGGGTGGCAGTGGGGGCACAGCCAGTCAGACAACCAGGAGGACTGGCACTCCCTCAGTACAATCTCTGAGAGGTCAGGGCCTGCAGGGCAACCTCACAGACACCTCCAAGCCCTCCAGCCCACCAGGCCTCCACCCAGACAGATTCTTCCCTGAAACACTGCCTTGGACCATGCAGGAGTGTGTCCTCTGAGTGTCACCATGCTTTGGGCCTGGGCTCTACCAAGCCCAGATGACAGGACGGCCATCACTAGGGTCCCTCTAACCCATGCACACCTGTGTGCAGAGTCAAGGGCATCCCTTGGTCCAGACGGGCTCAGCCCCACACCAGGACACACAGCTCGACAAGCAGAGCATGAGCTAGGTTTCAGCCCCCACATGACCCTAAACCACCTTTGTATACAAACTTTCCAGCCATGTCAGTAACTTTCTTTACTGCCTAGAATTGCTGCCACCTCATCCTGGAGCCCCTAATCCCTTAATGGTAAGAAAACACAAAGCTGCTCATTGAAGTCCACTTAGTCTCTTTCTGGGGTTTAAGTCTTTTGGGGTTAACTCAATCTCATTGAGTACACTCTTGGTCCATTCAAAGTTCAAATACCTGATTCAGGCTTTTCTTTCTTCTGTCAAGGGCAACCATCTCAGTTTGCCCAGGACTAAGGAGTTTCAAAACTAGGAGACTCCTGGGCAAACAAGGACAAGTTGGTCACCCTAAAACCTTAGGTGGCCCTGTTGCCTCATTTGTTGAATTTCTGTTCTCTGAGTCTCCTTTCATGTGTTTTCTGGGTGCTTGGATTGCTTCTTCTGCAAATTAGCAGCTCATAGTCCTTTAGCATTTTCTTGCTACAATTTAAATTTATCTTTTAAAAGTATAATTAATTCATAGTTTTTCAATGGTTTAAGAGATTGATTGTGTGTTGGAAATACATTTCCTAGTCTGTTGTTTGCTCTTTGATTTTGCTCATGGATCCTTCTCTTATAAAATGTTTAATTTTCATGTAGTCAACATATATCTCCCCCTTTGTTGATGGCTTCTGGGATTTCTAGCTTGTTTAGAAAGTGCTCCTTCTGGCTGGGCGCGGTGGCTCACGCCTGTAATCCCAGCACTTTGGGAGTTTGAGGTAGGCAGATCACTTGAGGTCGGGAGTTCAAGACCAGCCTGACCAACATGGAGAAACCCCACCTCTACTAAAAATACAAAATTAGCCAGGTGTGGTGGCAGAGGCCTGTAATCCAAGCTACTCAGGAGGCTGAGGCACGAGAATCACTTGAACCCAGGAGGTGGAGGTTGCGTTGAGCTGAGATCACACCATTGTACTCCAGTCTGGGCAACAAGAGCAAAACTCTATTTAAAAAAAAAAAAAAGAAAGAAGGAAAGAAAGAAAGAGAGAAAGAAAGAAAGAAAGAAAGAAAGAAAGAAAGAAAGAAAGAAGGAAAGAAAGAGAGAGAGAGAAGGAAAGAGAGAAAGAGAGAAAGAGAGAGGGAGGGAGGGAGGGAAGGGAAGGGAAGGGAAGGGAAGGGAAGGGAAGGAAAGAGTGCTCCCTCCCTCTATGATTATATAAATAGACCCCTAAATTCTGTCCTAATATGTTAATGTCTTATTTTGACAAGTAAATCTTTAAATCACCTAGAATTTGTTTCTACATATGGTTAAAGTAGAATCTCTGTTTGTTTTTCTTAAAGTTGGATAAACAGTTGTACCTGAACAATTGCTGGAACCACCCTTTCTCTCTGACTGAAAATGCCATCATCATATTTTAGATTTCTCTACTCATCTATTTCTGGGCTCTCAGGTCTGTTTCCTTAATACATTGGCCAGATCCGGTGCCAGCAACATACTGTTTTGGTATTGGTTGCTTGAGTCTGAGTTTTATTGTCTATACTAGAACTGGTCCCCATGCATTCGCATTTTCTTCACTATTTTTCTCTGAACATTTGAAATGTATAGTTATTTTACATTTACTTTACAATTATTTTATCTACATAGAATCTAAAATTACTTTATCCGGTTCTTAGAAGTAAAATTCTAACTGCAATTGCATTAAATTTATATAGTAATGTCTTAAATTTAATACATTAGTTTTTTAAGAACTGGTATTTTTTGATGTTACATCTTTCCATACAGAAGCATGGCTTGTACATATCCATTTGCTGAGGGTTTTTTTTAAAATGTCCTTCAATACGATTGTATCATTTTACTTCTGTAAATAGTTTACCTTTTCTTGTTAAATGCATCCTTAGGAATTGTATAGTGAGTGCCTGCTGTTATTATGAATAGGCTATTTTTTTTCATTTCCCTTCTCAAATGTTTATTGTTACCATAAACCAAAGCTTTATATTTATATATTTATCTACCTATCTACCTTACTAAATTCTCTTACTAATTTTAATATTATTTTATTAGGATCTATAGGTTGTCTAGGTATACTCTCAATCATCTGCAAATAAAGACATTTCTGTCTTCATTTCCAATGCTTATTCCAATCAATTCATTTTCATCTTATTGTTATTAGTTAAACCCACCAATGCTGTGTAGATCAATAGTGATGACAATGGGCACTCTGTCTTGATCTTGAATTAATAGAAATGACTTCAGCATTTTTCCATTTAGTAAACTGTTTGCTCTTGGTCTGTAATAAATAGACTTTACTGTATTTAAGTAGTTTCTATCTATTCACACAGAACAATCTCTTAGAGGAAAAAAATATATGTACCTGTCAGATACATAATAGAACTACCAAATATCTATGATATTGGCTACACAAATTGTGAAGCATGAATCATATTTCTATTTGATCTGCCACGGTGAGAAACTCATAACATTTTTGTGGTTAGAAAATTTAAGAAAACCACAGTCATTTTAGAAATACCCAATGCCACTTTCTCACGGAAAGAACCCAACCAGGGTGTGTCATCTGCACTCCCACATCACCCATTTGCTGACCACAGGGGCCCTGCTGAGCGCTCAGCAGCCAAGAGACAACCCCCACGGTGGGCTTCCAATCCAGGTGGGTGGCGGGCAGAAGGCAAAGGGATGAGAGACCTGAGGCAAAGGTGGAGTATAGCAGAGGGGACTTATGAACCAGGCCTATATCCCAGCCAGACAGGGTTGGTGGGTTAGAAAGGAGAGGCCAGAGAAGGCCAGAGCACAGTGAGACAGAGATGGGACAACATCTGGCACCTCTGCAGCTGTCACTCTTGCCATTCCGTGATGTCATGTTGCTGAATAGATTCTCTTACTCATAGGTAGAGCTGTGGAAATGAATCCAAATCCCACATAAGCGGGAATGTTGTAAATCCTTTAGTGTTTTCACAGCTGCTAGGAGGCACACCCCTGAGTCGTCCTGGGCAGAGAGAGGTGGGTGTCCCCCTATCCTGTTCCTCATCCTCCTCCTGAGGCCCCAGCGCAGTGTTTCAGTGTCCATTGTCTGATTTGACACATGGGAGAGAAGATCATGGCCCTGTCTCCAGGGAACACAAGTCCAGCACTGAAAGGTGACACAAAGGTGATGCACGCAATCAAACGTTTGGTCTTGGGGTTTCTCACTCACCTGCAAATTGGTGCCCCAAGCCCCCAGCCAGGACAGCTCCTTCCCTTCCCCCTCGCCTGGCTGTGGCTGACACCTAGTCCCAATTGGCAGGTCCACCTGCACCAGCCCCCACCTGCACCAGCCCCTAACTTCCCCAGTGCCCACCTGTATCAGCCTCCACCTGCACCAGCATCTGCCTACACCGGCCCCCAGCTGCACCAGCCTCCACCTGCACCAGCCCCCACCTGCACCAGCCCCCACATGCACTAGACCCCATCTGCACCAGCCCCCACCTGCACCAGCTCCCACCTGCACCAGCCCCCACATGTACCAGCCCCCACTTGCACCAGCGCCCACCTGCACCAGCCCCCATCTGCACCAGCCCCCACCTGCATTAGCCCCCACCTGCACCAGCCCTCACCTGCACCAGCTCCCACCTGCACCAGCCCCCACCTGCACCAGCCCCTACCTGCACCAGCTCCCACCTGCACCAGCGCCCACCTGCACCAGCTGCTACCTGCACCAGTGCCCTCCTGCACCAGCACCTTTCCAGGAACCCCTTCCCAAGGAGAAGGAGATGACAAAAGAGGCCTTCAGAGCACCCCATATGAGGGAGATTCTTGGAAAGCAATTCCTGTTCCCCCTACCTCTCTCATGTCCAGTTTTTCCAGGACAAGCAAGGTCTCACTAGCTTAAATCAACAGGAAAATTCCATCAGCACATTCTGACTGTCTGTGACCATGACCTGGTGCTGGAGCTGTGCCGATACAGGGTGAGAAGGAAAGGGCCCAGAGAGCTGGAATACCTCACCCATACAGGAGCCACCCACCAGGGGACAAAGTAGGTGCCCAGCAAAGAGGGAGGGAGCAGTTCCACCCAACAAGGGGCAGCCTAGCCAGGGTGTCTGCGGGCGCCATGCACCCTGGGAGGTCTTTTCTCCACACCAAGGCTGCTCAGAAAAATCCACAGCCTTGCCCACCGTCAATATGCCACAAAGCACCATGCTTCTCATCTCCCCTGACTTCTCTTTCTCTTCCTCTTCCTCCCCCTTCCTCCCCTTCTTCCTCTTCCTCCTTTTCCCCTTCATTTCCTCCTTTCTCTCTTCTTATTTCTCTTCTTCTGCTCTTTTTCCCCCTTCCTCCTCCTTCTTTATCTCTTTGTCTTTTCTTTTTCCTTCATCCTCTCTCTGCCCCTACACTGCCTGCTGACAGGATTTGCAGCTATTCGCTTTCCATCCATCCACCCCCACCACCATCTTTCCAACAAATATTTATTAAGCATATATGTTGTACTGGGCATGTAAAATCACATTTTCTATTTACAATGGGAAATCAAATAGTTCTACTTTGTTTATGAATAGAACTTTAAAATTGTTGTTTGATAATTTCTAGCCTTTTCAAACACTTCTGCCTCTCTCCTCCCCACATTTGTGGTTTTAAACTTCTTATTTTGAGATCATCGTGGATTCATATGCAGTTGTAAGAAATAATGCAGAGATCCCATGAACACTTTACCTAATTTCCCCCGATAGTAACATCTTGCAAAACTGCAGTACGGTATCACAGCCAAGACCCTGGCATTGATACAGCTAAGAAACAGAACATTTCCATCATCACAAGGGGTCCTCAAGTTGCCTTTTTATAGACATACCCATTTCCTTCCCTTGTCAATGCCCTCTCCTCCTCCTTAACTCCTGCCAACCACCAACCTGTTCTCCATCTCTATAATTTTGTCATGTTAAGAATGTTAAACTAATGCAGTCACGGACTGTGTAGCAGCCTTTGGGGATTGGCTTTTTCCACTCCGGATAATTCTCTGGAGATTTATCCAGGTTGCTTTGTGTATCAAGGCTGTTTCTTCTCATGGCTGAGTAGTATTTCATGGTATGGATGAACCAGTCTGCTTAATCATTTACCGACTTGTTGAAGGACACGGGGGTTGTTTCCAGTTCTTGGGCTATTACGAATGAAGTTGCTGTAAATATTCATGTGCAGGTTTTTGTAGGAACATAAGATAAGTCTTCATTTCTCTAGGACAAATGTCCCAGGGTGCAATTTCTGGATGATATGGTAGTTGCACGTTTAGTTTTTTAAAGAAACTCCCGAAGTTTTCTAGAATGGCTGCACCATTACATTCCCACCAGCAATGTGTGAGTGATCTGGTTTCTCTACATTCTAACTGGCATTTGATGCTGTCACTACTTTTTATTTTAGCCATGCTGATGGGTGTGTGGTGAGATCCCATTGTGGTTTTTATTTTTCATTTCCCTAATGGCTAATGAAAATGTACATGTTTTTGGCCAGGCACGGTGGCTCATGTCTGTAATCCCAGTGCTTTGGGAGGCTAACGTGGGCGGATCACCTGAGGTCTGGAGTTCAAGACCAGACTGACCAACATGGAGAAACCCCGTGTCCACTAAAAATACAAAATTAGCCGGGCATGGTGGCACATGCCTGTAATCCCAGCTACCTGGGATGCTGAGACAGGCGAATCGCTTGAGCCTGAGAGGCAGAGGTTGCAGTGAGCTGAGATCATGCACTTCAGCCTGGGCAACAAGAGTGAATCTCCATCTCAAAAAAAAAAAAAAAAGAAAAGAAAAGAAAAAGAAAGTGTACATATTTTCATGGGCTTATTTCTGTCTGTATACCTTCTTCAGTAAAACATCTCTGTGTCTCTTTCCCGTTCTATTAGTTTCCCATTGCTGCAGTAGCAAATTTCTGTGAACTTGGTAGCTTAAAAACAACACACGTCTGGCCTGGCATGATGGCTCATGCCTATAATCTCAACTCTTTGGGAGGCCAATCAAGGACAGAGGACCACTTGTGCCCAGGAGTTTGAGACCAGCCTGGGCAACATAGTGAGTCCCTATCTATAAATAAATAAATAAATAAATAAATAAATAAATAAATAAAAGAAAATTAGCTGGGCGTGGTGGCACACACCTGTAGTCCTGGCTACTCAGGAGGCTTAGGTGGGAGAATTGCTTGAGCACTGGAGGTCCAGGTTGCAGTGAGCCGTGATTGTACCACTGCACTCCAGCTTGGATGACAGAGCAAGACCCTGTTTCAAAACACAAAAGAAATGAACACACACATATTCATTCTCTTATAGTTCTTGACGCTAGAGTCCAAAGACAGCTTCACTGGGCTCAAACCAAGTTGTCACCAGGGCTGCACTCCCTCTAGAGACTCTAGGGGAGAATCCACCTCTTTTTTCCAGCCTCTAGAGCTGCGTTCCTTGGCCTGTAGCCCCCTTCCTCCATCTTTCTTACTGCCATCAAAGCATCCTCCAACTTCTCTGTGCTTTCAGCATCACATCGCTTTCTGCCTTCTGAATCAAATCTCCCTCTTCCTTTGTTTTATTAGAACACTTAGGATTACATTTAGGGGCCACCTGGATAATCCAAGATAATCTCTGCATCTCAAGATCATTAACTGAGTTGCATATGAAAAGTTTATTCTGCTATATAAGGTAACATTGACAGATCCCATGGGTTAGTACCTGAATAGCTTTCAGGCCGCGATGTAGCCTACTACACCCACGTTCTAATTGAATCGTTCGCTTTTTATTGTTAAGTTTTGAGAGTTCTTTATATATTCTAGATGCTAGCCTTTTGTTGGACGTGTGGTTTGCAACTATTTTCTCTTACTCTCTAGCTTGTCTTTTTATGATCTTAATGGGTCTTTCATAGAGCAAAAGTTTCCAGTCTTGATGAAATCCAATTTATCAGTTTTTCCTTTTATGGATCATGCTTTTCATGTTAGGTCTAACTGCTTGACTAGCCCTAGAGCCCAAAGATTTTCTCTATGTTTTTTTTTCTGTTTTATAATTTTACATTTAAGTCTGTGATCCATTTTATGTTAATTTTTGTATGAGGTATGAGAATTAGGTTGAAGTGCATGTATTTTGCCTATGGATGTCCAATAGCTCCAGCACCATTTGTTGAAAGGCTGTCTTTCCTCCACTGAATTACTTTTGAACCTTTGCTGCAAATCAGTTGTCACATTTGTGTGGGTCTATTTTTGGCTTCTCTGTTCTGTTCTGTATGACTCTCCCTCCACCAAGACCAAAACAATCTTGATTATTTTATGTTTTCAATTTTATTAATTTCTGCTATTATTTATTTTTATTTTTTTAGAATCAAGGTCCCACTCTGTCACCTAGGCTAGAGTGCAGTGGTGTGATCATAGCTCACTGTAACCTTGAACTTCTGGGTTCTAGTGATCTTCCTGCCTCAGCCTCCTAAGTAGCTGGGACTACAGATGTGCACCACCACACCTGGCTAATTTTTTTTGTTTTTAATTTTTAGTAGAGACAGGGTGTCCCTGTGTTGCCCAGGCTCATCTCAAACTCCTGGCCTCAAGTGATCCTCCAGCCTCAGCCTACCAAACTGCTGGGATGACAGGTGTAAGCCATTGTGCCCAGAATACTCTTATCTTTATTATTTCTTTACTTCTGCTTCTTTTGGGATTATTTTGCTTTTCTTTTCCTAGGTTCTTGAGGTGGGGCTTAAATTATTGATATGAGACTTTTCCTCTTTTCTAATGTGTGCACTTAGTGCTATAAATTTTCCTCTCAGCACTGCTTAGATGTGTCCCACAATTGATTTGTTGTATTTTCATTTTCATTCAGTTTAATGTATTTTTTTATTTCCCTTGAGATTTCCTCTTTGATGCATGGATTATTTAGAAATATGTCATTTCGTTTTCAAGTATTTGGAAATCTTCCTCTTATCTTTCTGTTCTTGATTTCTACTTTGATTTCGTTGTGGTCAGAGATCACACTGTGTGTGATATTAATTTCTTTTTAATTGGCTGTAGGTCAGGTGCAGTGGCACACACCTGTAGTCCCAGCTACTCGGGATCCTTGAGCCCAGGAGTTTGAGGTTATAGTGTGCTGTGATCACGCCTGTCAATGGTCACTGCACTCCAGCCTGGTAAACATAGCAAGACCCTATCTGTGGAAAAAAAAAAAAACCTAACAAAAAAATTAATTTGCTGAGGTTTATTTTATGGCCTATCTTGAAAAGAATGTGTACTCTGTTGTTGTAGGGTGGAATGTTCTACCGTGTCCATTAAATCTTGTTGCTTGGCAGTATTGTTAGTTCTTCTATAGTCCTGTTGATTTCTGTCTAATAGTTCTGTCAATGGTTGAGAGAGGTATGTTACATCTCCAACTATTATTGTTGATTTATCTATTTTTCTTTTCAATTCTTTCCATTTTTATATTATATATTTGCAGGTCTGATGTTTGGCGCATATACATCTAGGATTGCTATGTCTTCTTGGAGGGTTAACCCTATT